>NC_000023.11:35294980-35445337 GCF_000001405.40 Homo sapiens | reverse complement strand
CCCTCCAAGAATCTCCATGCCGTCAGTAACCTGGAAGTTTTTTGAATGCTGTCTTTTTGTGTTTTTATAGAAGCTTCATTATGTATGCCTGGCTGATTACATCATTGGCCATTGGTGATCAACCTTCAGCCCCTCTTCCCTCCCTGGAGTTTGGGGGATGGGGTTGAAAGTCTCAACCCTTTAATCATGCCCTGGTCTTTCTGGTGACAAGCCCACATCCTAAAGCTACTTAGGGGGCCCCAGCCACCTGTCATCTCATTAGCATACCAAAAGCACTCTTATCACTTAAGAGATTCCAATGGTTTTAGGAGTTGCATGTCAGGAACCAGGGGCAGAAACAAAGTATGTTTTTTTTTTTTCTTATAATAACACAGTGTGCAAAAGTACAAAAATGTGACAGAACAGGACATGTGTAGAGGCTAGTAAGCAATGGCTCTAGCTCAGGATAGATGGCCTTGGGAATGACAGAAAATGTGGAAACAAATGTATGTGGAAAGAGAAAACTTTAAAGTGACTCAGATTTTGCTCAGCAACAACAATAAATAAAGGGCTAAGGAAATGGATTCAAATTTGGATGCACTAACTTTAGGTCAATCGGACATTTATATTGAAATGACCAATTAGCATGTGAATATATTCATATGGAACTGAAAACAAAGGTTTGATTTTGATATAAATTTTATGACTCAATGAATTGTTATTAGTCAAAAGCAGAGCTATACATGAGAATGCTAAAAGTTTATAAAAGTAGCACCTCTCAAACTCTAGTATAAATTAGAATTATCTTCATTGATTGCTAAAAAAGCAGATTTATAAGTTTCATTCTTCCTCATGCTAATTTAATATATGTTTGGCTAGATGTAGTAAGATACATTTTAACAAGTGCTCCAGGTGATTCCAAGGTTCACATGTTAAGACAAAATATTGAGTAAGAGAAGGGAGGCATAGAAACAATTCTGAAAAATGAAAATTTAAAGACAACAAACAGACAGAAAAAGAGGCATGAATGTAAACAGAAAAGAATCTGGTTAGTGAGAGAAATGTCTAAATTCTGCACCTGAGGTGGGGGTAACTCAGTCAGGGATCCTTTCCCCACTGAACCAACCACACCAAGGCATAGGTCCTGAGAACAGACTGGACAACTTGGGGTAATTACCCCTGGGAAGGAAAAAAATTTTGAGGAGCCCAAGGAAAGTTTTGAGTACTAGCAAACCTTCTTGTAAACTCCTTATTGAAATTCACTCACAGGAAGGAAAAAATGGCATTCATTTAGAATCTTTCTTACAAATGAAGTCAATGTTGTAAAGGTTTGCAACAAGTTCATTTAGTCTTTTTATTTCTAAAAGCATCCTATATTCCCTTACTTTTTAAATTAAATTTCACTGGTGTGGAATTCTCTTCTTGCCACTTTGAAGCTATTATCCCATTTTCCCTGGCCTTTCTTGTTGATAATGAGATATATACTATTTGTGAAATTGTCATTCATGTTTAGATAAACAGAATTTTCTTTCTTGTAACCTTTAAGACTTTTTTAAATTGTCGTTTTCCTGAAATTTTTGTATTATATATCTAGCTATGGATCTATTATGCTATCATTTTATTATTATTATTATTATTACCCTGGTTGGTACTCAAAGTGCAGTGTTAATTTTAATATGTCTTTCTTCAATGTTAGAAAATTCTCAGCTAATATCTTATCAAATCTTCCTTCCCTGCCATTGCCTGCATTCTTTATATTCTAAAACAAATATTTCTAGATAATAGTTATTGAAGTTTAAGTTAAAAGGTCTGAATAGACCTTATGGGTATCTTAACTGCTTGTATTTTGCCTATTTTTTTCTTTTCTGCTTAGCAGATGAAGTGTTGAATGCTATCTTCAAAGTCAGTAATATATGTGTTCAGTGGTGTTCTGTTTCTGAGGGAAGAGAGAGACCCTCTCATATTGTTTTATACTCAGTACCTGTTTTAAGAAAAAAACAAGGAAGTAAAACCAAAGACAGGCAGCCTGGCGCCAGGCCCAAAACCAGGCCTGGGCCTGCCTGGCCTAACCCCAGTAGTTAAAAATCAACTCATAACTTAGAAACCGATGTTATTCATAGATTCCAGACATTGTATAGAAGAACATTGTGAAACTCCCTGCCCTGTTCTGTTTCACTCTGACCACTGGTGCATGCAGCCCCTGTCACGTACCCCCTGCTTGCTCAAATCAATCATGACCCTTTCTGTGAAATCTTTAGTGTTGTGAGCCCTTAAAGGGGACAGAAATTGTGCATTCGGGGAGCTTGGATTTTAAGGCAGTAGCTTGCCAATGCTCCCAGCTGAATAAAGCCCTTCCTTCTACAACTCGGTGTCTGAGAGGTTTTGTCTGTGGCTCGTCCTGCTGCATTTATAGTTTACCCTACCCATTGATTTTTTATTTTAATGATATTTTTGCTTCCCATATTTCAATTTGATTTGATTCTTTATCATATTCAAACTATTTTATATTATATATTCAACCTGTAACTTCTTTAATATTTTATTGCTATTTTTGTGTAATATTTTTATAATTTTTAGAATAAGCATAGTCCTTATGTCATTGAGTATCCCAACCATGCTTATTTTAAAAATATAAGCCAAAAACAAAATTCTAAGCACTCCAACCACCTGAATGGACCCCTCCTCTCAGCCAAGAGCATTCCAAAGTTAACCTGAAAAACTAGTTCATGGGCTGGGTACAATGGCTCACACCTGTAATCCCAGTGCTTTGGGAGGCCATGTCATGCAGTCTGCTTGAGCTCAGGAGTTTGAGACCAGCCTGGGCAACATGGTGAAACCCTGTCTCTACAAAAAATACAAAAGTTAGCAGGAAGGGGTGGTGAATGCCTGTAGTCCCAACTCAGGAGGCTGAAGTGGGAGAATCACTTGAGCCTAAAGGTTGCAGTTAGACAAGATTGCACCACTGCACTAACCAGCCTGAGTGACACAGTGAGACCCTGTCTCAAAAACAAAAACAAAATAACTAGTTCACTAGTTCAGGTCATTATGTGAAGGGGACATCAGACCTTCCTGCCTTTTGGAATTCAGGAAAAGCCAGTCAGTATTAACAACAACACAGCCTTTAAGTCTGATTTTAAAGCATTTACAATCTATTATCTCTGAAGGCTGCTACCTGGAGGCTTCTTTTGTGTGATAAAACTTTGGTCTTCACAACCCCTTTATCATCATAACCCAGACATTCCTTTCTACTGATTCCAGGTCTTTAGATAATAACTCAACCAATTGTCAATCAGAGAAATCGACCTATAACCTGGAAGTCCCCACTTCAAATTGGCCCACCTTTCCAGATTGAACCAATGTACATCTTTTAGGTATTGATTGATGTATTATGTCTCCCTAAAAGGTATAAAAGTAAGCTGTACCTTGACCACCTTGGGCACATGTCATCAGACATTCTGAGGCTATCAGGGGCACATCTTTAACCTGGGCAAAATAAACTTTCTAAATTGATTGAGACATGTCTCAGACACTTTTGGTTTACAAATGGATAACCATTAAGGAAGTCTGAGTGGAGCTTCCACTGACTTTTGACAAATCTCCTATTGTTGTTTGGTACCAGCTTGAGCTATCTTTAAGTCTCAAACCAATAGGACAATTTGCAGAGGTCTGGGAGCTCCCCCCACCACTTCCAGAGAATCCATCATCTCCCCAAATTTGGTCAAGATCTACAGTTTATTTTGCTGTACAATTCATTTTCTGGAGTTTTTATTTGCTTCCAACAGGAAGGCAAGTTTTCCTGCTTCCATGATGATAGAGAATAGAGAACTCCTCTCTGGAGTTTCAGCTAATTTCCAACAGGGAGGGGAGTTTGAGTTTTTTTTCTTTCCTGCTTCAAAGATAGTAGAGAACGGTCTTTAGTTGGGGCCCATGCCTAGGTAAGTAGCTAAATTGGTTTTTTTTTGGTCTTGGAAATTCTCCTTCATGACTAAAAGTTAAAATGGACAACCAGTTGGTCTTAATTTCTCCTAACCATTAGAGTGCTCAGTAATCATATTGTCGGGATTTTTGTTGTTGTTGGTCTGGCCTTTCTCCCATTGGATTTGACCAACCCTGCGTGACTTGGTCAAATCTGAATGAGAATTCCAAATTATGGGGAACAAGGTCCCTGAATTGGCTAAAATTCCTTGCAGCTGTAAAAAACTAACAAAAATGCACTTGATTTCTGTGTTTGTTTCCTTTCTTTAAAAAAAAAATAGTTCTTTTGTTTACTTTTCTTCCACCCTATTTCTCCTTCCCCTTTTACCATTTTCAGTACCAAAAACATATAGAGAGAAGGTTTCTAATGACTTGAACCCCTTAAAGAACTCAGAACAGAGGGGCCACTAACCCTTTTTGGAGTGTTCTGTTTTCATTGTGGAGTTTCAATTGTCATGCGTGTCCCAAAAAGAAAGGACATTTTGCTCCTCACAACTGAAAGGCACTCCTTGGTGACTGGGGGCCCAGTGGGAATGTCTGGGAGATTGACCCACTGCAACATGCAGTGGTCTCACAGGGAACACCCAACAAAATTATTTTTAAAAGCCTCATCCAGGAAACACACAGGAGCTGGTCACACTGCATTTCGAGGTCTCTTGGAGGGGCTAGACCTCTGGAGAAAGAAACTGAGGCACATAAGAAGGCAGAAATGAGTCAATGGTGACAAACTATGGAGTCCCAACCACAATCAGCACATCTTGATCAACAACAGTAAACCTTAAGCCACAGCTCAGTTTTTCCATTAAGAAAAGTGGGAAACAAATAATCTACGTATCAATGAAAAGAGTCAAACTCTGTAAAATATTTGAAGAGATTTATACTGAGCCAAATATAAGTGACCATGGCCATGACACAGCCTTCAGGAGATCCTAAGAACATGTGTTCAAAGTGGTCGGGGTGCAGCTTGGTTTTATACATTTTAGGGAGGCATGAGACATCCATCAGATACATTTAAGAAATACATTGGTTTGGTCCAGAAAGGCAGGACAACTCGAAGCAGGGGGCCTTCCAGGCTATAGGTAAATTTAAACATTTTCTGGTTGACAATTGGTTGAGTTTGTCTAAAGACCTGGGATCAATATAAAGGAATGTCTGGGTTGTGATAAGAGGTGGTAGGGACGAAAGTTTCACTATGCAGATCAAGCTTTTAGCTAGCAGGCTTCAGAGAGAATAGGATGTGAAATATTTCTTATCAGACTTAAAGTCTGTATCGATGTTAATGCCAGAGAGGTATAATGAGGCTTGTCTGATCCCCACTTGCCTTCATGGCCTAAACCAGTCTTTCAGGTTAAATTTTAAGAGCCCTGGCTGAGGAGGAAGTTCATTCAGATGGTTGGGAGGGGCTTAGAATTTTATTTTTGGTTTACATGATAATGAGGAAAGACAAGGAGAATGACGCATTTTCAGGTACCCCATTTGTTTTTACAGCGACTCAATTTGTGATTGTGTAAATGGAAGGAAGTGCCAGGTTTTCTAATACTCCAGCTGGTTACACATTAGGTCTGTTCTTGTGCACATGTTAAACTGATGGTCAAATTACATCAAGGAAAATCCAGAGGCCAAAGGTTGACCTGCAACTATAAAGTTCCTAAGTTCTCTATCTCTCTGTTTTCTGTCTGCATTATATCTGCTATTACTTTTCTGTTGAGATAAAATACACTGTGTGCATCTAAGCATTTATTGTTGTTATTGTTCTGGCAAAAGGGTGAGTTTTTACTAATCTCATCAGAGTTTGAAAGAAAAGCTATAGAATCCTTGTTTGCATAAATTTGTGAGAGAGGAGACAGGAAGGAACTGATTAGGCAGATAGTTAGGACGGGGCTACCAGTAGAAGTCCCTCCAATAAAAGAGCAGCCTGGAATAAATCAAGCTGCAAGCACAGATAAGTAAGCAGGGGTCAACACTTTTGTTTTTTTGTGCAACCAGCGAGCTCTGCCTATACATGGTGGGCTTCAGTGAGCACATTCCTTTCCTTTTTGGGCATACACAGATAAGGGAATTTGCACAAGGGGGCTTGCCTAAGACTGGCCTGCAATTGTGTAGATAAAAAAGGTTACATAGAGTCAGACATGTCCACAGTGGAAAATTCCATCTCCTGATCCATGTGCAGTAAGGAAAATAAAACAATACGTAGTAACTCAGGCTAAGGACCCACATATGCACTAGAGGAATGGGGTGGAGCTAACAAGAATTTGCACCTTATGCAAATAAGACACCCAGCCCTAAATGTTTTTTTGTGCCCTATGCAAATGTGCTCCCTTAGCTTGTTTATAAGTTTTTGTATTGAAGTGTGAAACAGCAACCCTCCCAGACACCCCTCTGCTGTGGAGAGCTTTCCTCTCTCACTTATTAAACATTTGCGCCAACCTCACCCTTGGTGTCTACGCTCCTTAATTTTCTGGGTTGTGAGGCAAACAACTCTGGGTAATACCTCAGACATCAAGACTGCTCCAGTGACTGTATTTTGCTTCATTTGTATGTGTGTGTTTAAGTGTATTTACAATTATTTTACTGTGTGTTTTTGGCCACAAGGTAGTGAATTGGCTTAAAGTTAAAAAGCATTAATTAATTAATTAATAAGCTCAAATGATTTTCAAGCTCACATGACTTAAGTAAAATATTTAATAAACTGGCTTTAAAATTGTTGGTAAAGTAATATTAGAAATGTCTTAAGAATTGTCAACATACTTTTGTGTTTGCATTTATTAATCAATTTCATACTTATCCCTGTCAAATACTATAGTGTCAAAATTTGGCATAAGAGTTATAAAGCTGTAAACCCAGCCCAAAACAGAATGATCTTTGCTTGTGTGATGTTTGATAAATAAGACATTTAATATTGTTGGTTTCATAGAAACAGCTACGTCTTGAATTATTTGTAAAATAAGCACATATTTAATCCTGAGCTTATCTTACTCAGATAAACACCTGAAATTCACAGGCTATAAAAATGGTAGACAGGAACATAATTTTAGATGATGACTATCACAGTTTTTATAAATAATCTAGCTAAATTATTAAAATAACATAATTAGGTAAATGAAATTAATTGTAAATGAACTTGTCATAATTTAGAATCTAAAGTTAAATTAAATAATAGACATTTCATTAAATGACAGGTTATTTTCCAATTTAAAAAATAAACTTACAGTATAAGAAAACATTCTTTCTAAAAATGTGTTCTTATTAAAAAGTAAATAATTTTTGTCTAATTCAGAGCTTATTTAAAGGTTATATATAAAACCAGGTAAAAAGAACCAGGAAATAAGAAAGATGTAAAGAAAATTATAGACATAAAAAGGTATTTTTGATAATAAAGCTTAAAGGAAAAGTAGTTTTATATGAGAAAGAATTTTATATGGTGAATTTTTTCTCCTAAAGTAAAAGGGACTGGGTTGTTCAAGAAAGATGGATATTTAGTGACCAGAAAGTCCAAGCATGTTAGGAATGGTTTCTATAAGTTGTAATAAGATCAGTATAAAAGAAATTTATAAAAATGTTATGTGATTATGGAGGCTATAATTGAAATAAATTATAATTTTTCTAAAAATTGGACTTTCATATTAAAAATACACATATAAAACTGAAGGATGGGTGAGAACAAGATTTTATTAAAAATATTGTTACTCTTAATGCAAGAAGTTTTAATTTTTAATTTTTTTTTGAGATGATGTCTTGCCCTGTCACCAGGTGGCGCGATCTCAGCTCACTGCAACCTCTGTCTCCCGGGTTCAAGCGATTCCCCTGCCTCAGCCTCCCAAGTAGCTGGGATTAAAGGCATGCGCCACCACGCCCAGCTAATTTTTTGTATTTTAGTAGAGATGGGGTTTCACCATGTTGGCTATGATGGTCTCAATCTCCTGACCTCGTGATCTGCCCACCTCAGCCTCCCAAAGTCCTGAGATTACAGACATGAGCCACCGTGCCTGTCCTAATTTTTAAATTTTTAAATATGTTTCTTCTTCAAATTATTCAGATTGATATCTCAGAAGTTGTACCCTGCTGCTTCAGTTGCTTCTGTCTTTTGAGAAGGCCTTGAATGGAAACTTTCTCTTTCAACTTTTGTTGGCTCCTGTAATGTTTTTAAATTAATACTCTAAAGTAAGGGAGAGAATTTTTGAAAACAAGCAAATTAAAAATGTTTTGGATTTGCTTTTTTCTGTATGTCTGCTATGTCTATATGTTTACATATGACATGTCCAAGTTCTGTTTCACACCAAACTGTATGAAAGAGCTCTAAACAATTGCCTTAAAGAATTTAATACTTAACCATATTTGACAGAATCTAGGTCAGATGCCTTGTAGTTCACATGACTAGTAATATTTGGGAAGATTAATTTGGTAAATTTAATCTCAATTCTCTCTCCAGTAATTTAAAATCTGGAAGTCATGTTATGTTTAAGTTAAGAAATCCTAGTTTGTTTTTTTTCCATTGGGAATTTGGATTACTAAGACATAAAGTAGTAGGAGAATAAAATGTATTTTTGCTAAAGTTTATAAAAACACAAGGATGTAGATTTTGCTAAAGAAAATGTAATTTTTAAAATTTAATAGACTATTTAAAAATGCCTTAAAATAAAGAAAAAATTATATAAATAAAACTAAATGGATAGAGAGAAATATATAAAGATGGAGGGATGAGAATCCTTGACTCTGGGGTGGCCACATGGTCACCCACGATATGGAGCTGCAGTTGGGCTGCATTCAGTTACTAAAGGTAAGTTGCCAGTGGAATTTCGAGATGGATCATACTCCCACATTCAATGGATGCCTACAGATGTGCAAACTAATAAGTAAAAAGCAAAATATTCAATCTCTTGGTTTATTATCTGTAATAGTTAAAATAAGAGTAAAAAAGTACTTGCTTGGTCCTTAAGACCAGACCAAGACCTGATGTGGCTCTGTCCCAGCTCAGGCTACAAGCCTCCAAGCTATCCACAAAAGGTACCTCTGAGACCTGTGGTTACCATGAAGATAGTCAATGTGGGGAAAGGTCAAAACCAAGTAACTCTTAAAACAAAAGGGTATAATGTAAAAGAGTTTTTCTAGTTTGTAGATTGGTATCATCGGCTTCCTGAGAAAAATTTACTATAATGGATTGAAAAAAAATTACTTTAAGATGAATTTAATCTCAATTCTCTCTAGCAATTTAAAATCTAAAAGTTATGTTTAAATTAAGTAATCCTAGTTATATAATTATTAAAATCCTTAATTTTAAATGGTACAGAATGAAAGAGTGTGTTTCAGTTGTGCTCACTATTAAACAATTGCTGATGAGTATATGTGATCCAAATGCACAGGAGATTATTCCTGAGGGAACAACCAGCCTAATGGATCAGATAAACACCACTGTAACATCTGTTTACCCTGATAAGGGGACTATCCATCTCTCCCTATAAAATACCAAGTGGTGTACTCCAGATGAAGCAGTTGATATGCTTCATATGCAAGTCATGTGGAACTGGCTTTATCATGTCTGGGATATTCTCCCGCTGAATATGTCTATTACTCAGGTCATTGGAAATTTGGGGGTTAAAGGGGTGCCTTTTACATGGGCACTCTGGGTAACATTACTTCCACAGAATCATACAACTGTTTGAGTAGCCTTATCAAATTTGCTGTCCTTCATATGTCTTGCAGATGCTTAAATAAAACATTGAGGATAATTTTAAAAAATGGGAAAGGCAAAAGGGAGTGATGAAAGTATTTGAATGGTTATTAAGAAATGATAAAATAAAAGCTGAGGTGGTTAAAGCAAAGGTCTTAAGACACTGTTTGCCCCAGATTGGAAAATTTAAGAAAAGTCAAAAGGCAAAGGTTATGAGAAAGCTCACATTGCCTGGTGCAATGTTGAGACAACTAAGATAAAGATATAGAAAAGGTCCTGAATCCCTTGGCCCAATCCCCTGCTGGGGACCCAAATCCTTTTTATATAGGATCTTACTACCTGGGGAATGCAAGGAGGAGAATACTCATAAGCAAGGAGCCTCTTTTTCCTCTAGGACTGATTCTTACTATATGAGGAGCTGCTAGATTCTACAGTGCCTGATAGATACCTCTCATCTAACAAAAGTTGTTTGGCTTGTGGACAGCAGTTCCAAGATTGACAAATGACATCCTGTTTGGAAGCTGCCACACTAGAGTCAAGTAAATTTTTTTCGTCTGAATTATTTATAGTTTAGAGCAATTGAATAAAATATATTTCTGTGAGCAAATTTATCTCCAAAATTCTGAATCTGTTCGTGAGTATTCTGATATTTATGACAATATAGTTATTTGCATAAGTTTCATAAGAGTTTTTTTTTTAAATATGAAAATTGGAGACACTGGTTACTTTTCTAAGGCTTTCAGTAGAATAACATATTTTTAGGTAAAGTTCCAGCAAACCCAACTTAAAAGGAACCTATATGGCCAATCAATTCCTGCTGCACTTTATGCAAATATTCAGGCCAAGTATAATAAGCCTAAAACTTACTTTGCACACAAATTGGTCTTACTGTTATTTCTCTTTAATAGAAAAGAAGGGCTAGAGAGAGAGAGAAATTGTTTAAATAGAAAAGTGTAACACTTATTACTAAATTTCAGTCCTGATTTTTGTTTTTGAGTGCAGACTGAATCATGTATTATTTCTTGGCTATAGTAACCCTCTCAAGAGTACCAGATTATAATTTTTCTTTGTATTTTTAGTTGGTGGCCTGATTGAATAGTTTCCTTTTTCTGTTCTGACACACAAATACTCTTTCGATTTTCAAAATATTAATGTTACTTATCTCTCCTTGTTTTAATTCCAAGGAAACCAGTATCATGATATTCTGAAAACTAGAGATGCAAATCTCTCTCATTTGGCATGCCACTGGGCCTGATCTGTTTTTCACTATAAATGCCCTGCTATTAAGACTATACCAGCACCTTCCCTCTAAGCCGATAGACTATCATGAAAGAGGTGGGTGCATGAGATTGTAAGGGCCAGTTTTGAGGGACAGAATTAGTTCAGACCCTTCACATCAAGGATGAGTACACAGATGCCTAAACAGCTGGTAAAACAAAGGATTTTGCCTTCTGAGCTATTATGTGGCACCTTTTCATCTGCTCCAACCATAAAGAATTTCCTGCTTCCTGTAGAATAAAAAGTAAATAATTACTGAAAGGATAAAGATACCTCATGAGAAAGCCTCCTGGATATAATATTTCCAGTTATGAGTTGTACAGATATATATTTAAAGAAATTTTTTTTTCAGAACAGTGCTTATGTTTTGTATAGCTAATTGCTATAAGTCCACAACTAAAATCAACATTACAGTAGCTCAATGCACAGAAGTTAAAAAAGTAACTTTTGTAACCTCACCTTTGGTTTTTTATTTCTTGGCTTTTTACTTAAAAAAAAAATTAAGGGGTAATGAATGCCTGTTCACATCCATTCCTATCTGGCCTAGAACATTTAATTTGCTGTAAGTCCTTTGACTGTATGTTCCTCAGCCACAAAGAATCCCATTCCAGGATGGGATCTAGGGCAGGCAGCCATATTACCCCGGCAATGCTATGGGACAAAATAAAAATTTGATGCCTCTTGATGTTATCTCTGGCAAATCTTAGCCAGAAGGGGGAGAATGTAAAGTAAAAATAAAATTATAACACCCCTCAACCATCTTAATAAACCCCTTCTCTTGGCCAAGGGCATTCCAAAGTTAACCTGAAAAACTAGTTCAGGCCATGATGGGAAGGGAGGGGCAGACATGCTTCATTATACCCTCCTCCCTTTTGGAATTCAGAAAAAGCTGACCAGCATTAACATCAACATAGACCTTAAGTCTGCTAAAATATATATATATATATAGTATATAATATATAGTATATATATTTTATATAGTATATGATATATAGTATATATATTTTATATAGTATATTTTATATATACTACATATTTTATATAGTATATTTTATATGTACTATATTATATATAATATATATAAAATATATATTATATATAATATATATAAAATATATATTATATATTATATATAAAATATATATTATATATAATATATTATATATTATATATATATTATATATAATATAACATATATAATATAAATATTATATAATATATAATATATATATAATATATAATATATATATTTTATATATATATTTACAATCTATTCTCTCTGAAGCCTGCTACCTAGAGACTTCATTGGCATGATAAAACTTTGCTCTCTATACTCCTATCATTATAACCTAGGCATCCCTTTCTATATATATAAAATATATATAAAATAAATGTATAGATTGTGTGTATGTGTGTATATATATGTGTATATATACATATATATATATTTGACTTGCATTGTTTTTTCTTTTACATTCTTATGTCATTCCTTCCTAAAAAACAATTATGAGGCTAATTTCCATGAATATTGTAGGGTCCTCAGTTGAGAAGTAGCTCTCAAAAGGAAGTCATAGGACTCCTCTCTGGCAGGGATGCGAAGGATATACAGAACTGGTTAGTGAGCCTCAGGCAGTCCTGTCCTGAGGCTATGTCAGTATCCTCAGGCTTACATTGCATGGCATCTCCATATAAGTTGTAGCCTCAGGCAGAAGTTGTCTACAATTTTTCACCCTACTTTAATGAATTATAGCTCCTGGATTTAAGCAGTGAAGCCAAGTTTATTTCTGCATTTCACACAGAAAACCTCCAGCTTTTCTTACCCTATAAGAAGTGAAGCTGCATCTCCCACTGCCTGCTTTGGAGTATATTACTTCAATTCCATTAACCACTCCAGCTTTCTATTTTGTCTCTGGTATATAAAGATGTGTTTATTTTGTCTATGTTCCTTTGATGTTTTATTTTTGTAGTTAATCCATCATCGCCAAGTTCATAGAACAGTAAAGGCTATACCAAAGAAAGAATATAGTTTGCTATTTTTACCTGTGTTTCCAGGTTAATTTTAACTACACATTCCATCAGCATTTTTCTAAGTTTAGTAATAAAGGAAATCCTGCAACTTCCAAGTAGAAATGGCTGTAGAATTTCCATAGATTTAAGGACTATGCACTGATTTTTTTTTTCTTCTTATCTTGCCCAAATTCCTGTCTAACGAGTCTGGGGAGTCATGCCCTATAAACCATAAATTCTCATCAGATGGGTTTTACTTAACCCTATATATTGTTACCTACTTTCCAATCTGACTCTGGAATAACATTACGAGACAAGGAAGAAAATAAAAATGTTTTACTCAAAAACATGTTTCTCTGCCATATCTTGAAATGGCCCTGCAAAGCCATCCTTTGTGGGGGAAAACCTGCATCTGTAAAGAATCTGTATTAACATAGCTAGATCTTTTTCTTCCAGGCCTTCCCAATCCTGGAGAAATTAACTAAATGTCTGGCACCTTTTAAAGACTTCGATAGGAAACATTTGTCATCTATTGTCTCCAAGGGCAGCCACTATAAGACTTCAAAAGAACCTCGGTGTCCACAGTCTTTTATCTTAACCTGAACATTTCCTTTCTAATGATCCCAGGTCTTTAGACAAACTCAACCAATTGTCAACCAGAAAATGTTTAAATTTACCTATAGCCTGGAAGCCCCTGCTTTGAGTTGTCCTGCCTTTCTGATCCAAACCAATGTATTTCTTAAATGTATTTGATTGATGTCTCATGCATTCTTAAAATATATAAAACCAAGCTGCACCCTGACCACCTTGGGCACATGTTCTCAGGACCTCCTGAGGGCTGTGTCACAGGCCATGGTACTCATATTTGGCTCAGAATAAATCTCTTCAAATATTTTACAGAGCTTGACTCCTTTCATCATCAGATTTAAGCATATCTGTTATCATCAGTGACTAATATTCTTTTTGCTCTGTTTTGAGGAATAAGCTCCTTTTTTTATCTTGCCCAAATTCCTACCTAAGAGGTCTAGGGAGCCATGCCCTATAAACCACAAATTCTCATCAGATAGGTTTTATTTGACCCTATGTATTGTGACTTACTTTTCAATCTGACTGTGGCATAAAATTATGAGACAGAAAAAATATTTAACCCCAAAATATATTTCCTTGCCATACTTTGCAATTGCCCTGCAAAGTCTCTTGTGGGAAAAATCCACATTCTATAAAGAATCCCCTTCCCCATTTGTTTTCCTTCCTTTCTAATCCAGGAGATAATCAACTAAGAGCCAAGCACCGTTTTAGGTCCAATAAGAAACATTTTACAACCTGCTCTCTCTCTGAAGTTTGCTATTTGAGAGATTCCTCTGCACAATAAAACTTGCTCCCCACAATCCTTTATCTTAACCTGAACACTTCTTTCCATTAATCCCAGGTCTTCAGATAAACTCAACCAATTGTCAACCAGAAAATGTTTAAATTTACCTGTAACCTGGAAGCCCCTGCTTTCAGTTGTCTCGTCTTTCTGAACCAAATGAATGTATTTTATTTATTTATTTATTTATTTATTTTATTTTTTAGTCGGAGTCTTGCTCTGTTGCCAGGCTGGAGTGCAGTGGCGTGATCTGCCCACCTTGGCCTCCCAAAGTGCTGGGATTACAGGCGTGAGCCACCATGCCCAGCCCAGTGTATTTCTTAAATGTATTTCATTGATGTCTCATGCCTCCCTAAAATATACAAAACCATGGGAACATGTTCTCAGGACCTCCTGAGGGCTGTATTACAGGCCATGGTCACTCATATTTGGCTCAGAATAAATCTCTTCAAATATTTTACAGAGTTTGACTCTTTCTGTCACCAGTTTCAAAAGATGCTTAGCATATAAAATGTTACGTAAAACTTTTCAATCAACTTGTTAAGGATGTTGGAACTGGAATTTTCTCATCAGCTATCGCTTGAGGAGCCTTGGTCTCTACATCATAGAATTAGTTAGGTGATATTTATACCCTTTTCTTCCTGTGTTAACAGATTATCCCTGAAATGAAATTGTTGAATCTTTATACTTTTGCTTATCATGTAAAAGGTTTCTGAGTAAATCTCCATTTTGAAGTGTTAAAATATGGTTTATAGAGCTTTTAAGCTGAGGGCCTTATTTCAAAATTATATCTACAAGGAGCTGTTTCCTTCATTCTCTAATAAGAGCCTCATTAACCTAAAGCAAAATATTAGCCGGTGATCTAACTTGTGAGTAAGGCTGAATCCTCATACTTAGGTGGGTTAGAAATTATACAGATGAACTAAGATTATATGATAGATTAATTCACTCTCCTGGATCTCAGCTGAGAAGGTTCTCTAATAGGGCACAAGTCACTTAACCACAGGTGGGGAATCCTGTGTCTCCAGGTAGCCAGCAGGGGACCCTGCTCTCATTGTGTTCCAGTCTGCTAAAATTCTAAGGGAAGGTCTTTCTCAGCTAGTCTTTTACTAAGCTTGCTCCATTGTCTGTCTGAGGACTTTGCCCCCGCCTTCTCCAACAATTATTTTATCCTGTTCTGCACAGATCAGATCTTTGTCGAGTGTTTAAGCCATATTTACTTTCTGTGCCCCGACTTAGCAGGGTGCACTTTATTTATTTTTATTTGTATATATTCATGGAGTACAGTGTAATTTTGCTACATTAATGTATTCCATTATGATGAAGTCATTGCCTTAAGTGCATAAAGCTTTCTTATGGCTCTTGCTTATCTCTCTTTTCTTTGTCAAGTAGTGGCCTTTCCTGTTCCCTTCCACTATGCCGGCCCTGAAAACAGGCTGTTTGGCAAGTCTTACATTGCATTCCCAAAGAAGAAAACACTTAGATGGAAATTTGAAGGCAGATAGTTTTTGGTAGTTATTGCAGGAAGTGCCATTGGGAGAACGAGCCAAGAAGGAGAGAAAAGAAAAAAAAAAAAAAAGAAGTTGTTGTTAGGTTAGTGCTGTTGGTAACTGAGGCCCACTTCTTCTGGGGAACTTTGTAATCCAGGATCAAATATGCCTCAAATTTATCCCCCTTCTTTCCCAGCAGTAATCTGGAGTATTTACTCTCCCCTTACCATTTGTTATTGCTAAGGGCTGCTCCCTAAGAGCATTAACTTTCTTAGGGTGTTAACTCATACTGGGTGAAAAAAAAAGCCTTTAGGTAGAAATTGTAGTAGAGTTGGGTTGTTAAGTACTGGAACATTGAATGTTGAGGGAATATGAAAGAGGTACTAACAAGAGCTGATAAATGACTCTTATCTTCTAATACTAATGTCGAGACATTTGACATCTGTATAACAGATAGACTAGACTATCCCCACTCTGTGTATAGGCTATTCAAGCAGTGGTGTTTGTGAGATATAAAGAAAGGGCTCATGTAAAGTTATCTGCCACATTCATGCCTAGAATCCACTCCTTATAAATTTGTTCATGTTGTTCACTATCTATTTCAGAAGACAAATATCACTGGACTCTAGTCCTTAATATTTATGTTCATCCTCCCAAATGACTCACAGGCAATCAGATAAAGGGAAGGCAACTGATCCTGGAAAAATGTCAACTTTTCTCCTCTGGGAATTTGGCATTGGGATGGAAGAGTCTATCTTCCTGAGTTCTTGTCTCAACTATTCAGTTAAGTAAATTTTGAACCTGTGTGATGGCAATGTATGCAGAAGACAAAACATCAATAGTGCCTGACTTCAGAGGGACAAATAAGGCAAACTTACAGAGAGAGATAAACTAGAGAGGCTATGATCTGCCTTGACTATTGATGACACTCAAGGGACATATTCATATCTGTATTACTTATCCTTGGGTTTCCTGTGTTATATCTAATTTTTTTTAACTTTTGTGGGTACATAGTACGTGTATATATTTATGGGATACATGAGATGTTTTAATACAAGAATACAATATGAAATAATCACATCATGGAGAATGAGGTATCCATTCACTCAAGCATTTATCTTTTTTATTACACAAAATTCAATTATTATGACTATAGTCACCCTGTTGTGCTATCAAATAGTAGGTCTTATTCATTCACTGTAAATTTTTTTTTGTACCCATTAACCATCCTCCCTACCCTCCCACCCCCATGCTGCCACTACCCTTCTCAGCCTCTGTTAACATCTTTCTACTCTATTGCCATGCGTTCAATTGTTTTCATGTTTAGATTCCACAAATAAGTGAAAACACACAATATTTGTCTTTCAGTGCCTAGATTATTTCAGTTAACATAATAATCTCCAGTTCATCCATGCTGTTGCAGATGACAGAATCTCATTACTTTTTTATGGCTGAAAAGAACACCATTGTGTATATGTGCCACATTTTATTTGTTAATTAATCTGTGGATGGACAGTTAGGTTATTTCTAAATCTTGGGTATTGTGAGTAATGCTGCAATAAACATGGAAGTTTAGATAGCTCTTTGATATTCTGATTTCCTTTCTTTTGGGTATATGCCTAGCAGTGGGGTTGCTGAATCATATAGTAGCTCTATTTTGAGGTTTTTGAGGAACCTCCAAACTGTTTTCCATAATAGTTGTGCTAATTCACATTCCCACCAACATCATTTAATGGTTCTGTTTCTCCACATCCTCGACAGCATTTGTTATTGCTTGTCTATTGGGTCTAAGGCATTTTAACTGGGGTGAGATGATATCGCATTGTCGTTTTGATTTGCATTTCTCTGAAGATCAGTGATGTTGAGCATCTTTTCATATGCCTGTTTGCCATTCGTATGTCTTCTTTGGAGAAATGTCTATTCAAATATTTATTCATTGGATTATTATATTTTTTCCTATTGAGTTGTTTGAGCCCCTTATATATTCTGGCTATTAATCCCTTGTTAGATGGGTAGTTAGCAAATATTTTATCCCATTGTGTGATGTATTAGTCCATTTTCACAGGGCTGTAACAAAGTACCTGAGATTGGGTGATTTATAAAGAAGAGAGGTTTAATTGTCTGATGCTTCTGCAGGCTGTACAGGAAACATAATGGCTTCTGCTTCTGAAAGTCCTCAGGAAATTTGCAATCATGGTGGAAGATGAAGGGGAAGCAGTTGTATTCCTTATGATCTAGACTGCCTTTCAAGTTTACTTAGAGACACAGAGCACTGTAGCCCTTGATGACAGGGTTTAAGGGAACTCAAGTGCTGACTGCTAGGATTAGTGATTCCCCTCTGGCTAAGGCTGGTTTAAAGGCTCCCTCCTTGCACTGAGTTCAATGCCTCATAATTGCTGCATTCTCCTTCCCCCAAACCTAGAGAAGCTCTCTGTTTTGCAGCTGCTTGGGGATGGGAGAGGGATGGTGATGGTGATTCAAGACTTTTTCGTACCTCTTTAGTACCACTTCAATTGATACAAAGTTAACACCAGGTACTATGAGGGATCACCTGATTTTTTATTCTCATGAAGGTGTTTGTGTGTGTGTGTGTGTGTATACATTTATTTAAATTTGTGTCCTTGTGGGATGTACAATTGACAGAGTTTTCTAGTCTAATATCTTGCTCCACCCTCCTCTATACCTGGATTCTTATGCTACATTTCTCCTTTATACTTAAAGTTTAGGCACTAATTCTTTACTCTGTGTCAGTTTACCAGATGAAGTTTCTTCTGGATGTGGTTCAAGAGGTGTATTAGTCTGTTCTTGTACTGCTATAAAGCAATATGGGAAAGAGGGTAATTTATAAAGAAAAGAGGTTTAATTGGCTCACAGTGCTGCAGGCTATACAGGAAGGATGTCTGGGGAGGCCTCAGGAAACTTTCAATCTTGGTGGAAGGGAAGCAGGCATGTCTCACATGGCCAGAGCAGGAGGAAGAGAGCAAAGTGGGAGGTTCTACACACTTTTATATAAGCAGATCCTGTGAGAACTCACTATGACGAGAACAGCAAGGGGGAAATCCACCCCCATGATCCAATCACTTCCTACCAGGTTCCTCCTCCAAATTTGGGGATTACAATTTTACATGAGATTTGTGTGGGAACACAAATCCAAACCATATCAAGAAGCAACATGACAATATTGGAATATGGGTAAGAAATATAGAAGGTTGATGGTCTCCACATTTTGCCATTGTCAGACCATGTTGGGGGTGAGATGGTGAAGTATATACCCAGATGGAGAGAGAACAAATACGTATATGGTGACCTATTTATATATCTGAGAGACATACTTTTTCTTTTTTTTTTTTTGAGACGGAGTCTCGCTCTGTCACCCAGGCTGGAGTGCAGTGGCTCAATCTTGGCTCACTGCAAGCTCTGCCTCCCAGGTTCACGCCATCCTCCTGCCTCAGCCTCCCATGTAGCTGGGACTACAGGCGCCCGCCACCACACCCGGCTAATTTTTTGTATTTTTTTAGTAGAGACGGTGTTTCACCGTATTAGCCAGGATGGTCTTGATCTCCTGACCTCGTGATCCGCCCACCTCGGCCTCCCAAAGTGCTGGGATTACAGGCATGAGCCTCCGTGCCCGGCCGAGAGACATACTTTTTAGTAGAGATTTATAGTATTTTCAGCTAAGAGAATCTTGGTATTACTCATTTGTAATATTTCTGCCCATAATATCTGTTACACTTAAAAACACATGTATTAATATTATTTTAAGGTATTTTAAAACAAATTAATGTAATTTTAGATTCATATGCAGTGGTACAATTTAAAAAGTGAGATTCCATGTACTCTTTGTCCAATTTCCCCAATGATAACATCTTGCAAAACTATAGTAGAATATCATAACCAGAATATTTATATCTATACAGTCAAGAGAAAAAGTAGTTCTAGCACCACATTTATCTTTCATGTTGCTTTTTTATAGTCAAGCTTACCACATTCCAATTTCTACCCCCTCCTTAAACCCTGAAAACCACTAATCTATTCTCCATTTCTAATATTATGTCATTTAAAAAATGTTATATAAATGGAATTATAGAGTAAGTGGCATTTGGGGATTGGCTTGTTTTTATCTCAGAATAAGTCTCTGAAGATTCATCCAGGCTGCTGTGTGTATCAGTGGTTTATTTCCTTTTATTGCTAAGTAGTATTCCATGGTACATATACCAAATATTCTGTAATCATTCACCTGCTGAATAACATCTGAGTTGTTTCCACTTTTGACTATTACAAATAAGGCTACTATGAACTTTCATGTACAGGTATTTGAACAGAACTTTTCATTTCTTGGTGATGAATGTTCAAGAGTGTAAATGCTAGATTGTAGGGTATTTGCTTTTTTTTTAATAAGAAACCACCAAAATCTTTCCAGAGTGGTTGTGACATTTTACATTCTCACCAGCAACATTTCTGTGATCTGGTTTCTTCACATCCTTAACAACATTTGTTATTTTCACTATTTTTTATTGTAGCCATTCTGATGGGGAATATTAGAATCTCTGTTTTGTTTTTTTGTTGTTGTTTGTTTGTTTGTTTGTTTGTTTAGATGGAGTTTCTCTCTTGTTGTCCAGGCTGGAGTGCAATGGCACGATCTCGGCTCACTGCAACCTCCGCCTCCTGGGTTCAAGCAATTCTCCTCCCATAGCCTCCCAAGTAGCTGGGATTATAGGCATGCGCCACCATGCCTGGCTAACTTTGTATTTTTAGTAGAGATGGGGTTTCTCCATATTTGTCAGGCTGGTCTTGAACTCCTGACCTCAGGTGATCTGCCGACCTCGGCCTCCCAAAGTGCTGGCATTACAGGCATGAGCCACCACGCCTGGCACTCACTGTGGTTTTAAAATGAATTTTCATAATTTTTAATGCGGTTCAACATCTTTTTATATACTTATTTATACTTATTTACCCTCTCTATATATCCTCTTTAGTAAAACGTCTCTTCATGTATTTTAGCATTTCTAATCACTTAGATTAGATTTTGTTTGATTGTTATTTTTTTACTACTGAGTTTTGAGAGTTTTAATATTCTGTAGACAGTAGTAGTTCTTTGATAAATATATGGTTTGGTTTCTAATTGTTTTCTTTCCATTTGTAGCTTGTGTTTTCATTCTCTTAACATAACGTGTCACAGAAGAAAATTTTCTAATTTTAAAGAAATTTAGGTTATTTGTTTTTCTGAATTGTGCTTTTAGTCAAGTTTAGGAACACTACTTAGCTTTAGATCATAACTATTTTTACTTTTTTCTAGCAGTTCTATAGTTTTAAGCTTTATTTAAATTTGTGATCCATTTTGAGTTAATTTTTGTATGTGGTGTATGACTTAGGCTGAGATTCAATTTGAAATGGTAGCTTTGTCTCCATTGAAGTCCTGATTCACAGACATCTTTGGGAGTTTTCTACTATATGCTGCTCTCCTTGACTACCCAAGAGAAATTCTGATGTGTAGGGGTCTGAGAATAAACCCAATGCAGTCAAGGTGAAGGACCCTCTGAAGTGATGAACTTCTGAATAATGGCCTCTCAAAGATTTCCCAGCATTTGAGGCCAGGCCTCGCTTCATGTTTGGTAGTGATCCTGTCCCACACATGGGTTTAGGAAACCACATCCAGCGTCTATCATTATCTTTGTACAATAGCTCCAAGCAACTATACTTAAATCATTGCTACAACTTTGCAAAAATATGTTAGCTTTAATGTTCTCAAAAAATAATTTCATTGTTCCTGATTATAAGCTTACTCACCAAAGTAAATAATCTAGTGCTTTGATTAAATAAAGTTTAGAATCAAGTCTAATATCCATAATTCTATTAAAAAATCCTAATTCTGCCTCAATATTTATTTCTCTCTTAGATATTCAATAATTGCATTTTCTCTGCAGTGACCTTTTGCACTGAAATAAATTGCTAAAGAGTGTCTTATTGCTGACACAGATTAGAGTTTGTTGCTAATTGAATGCTAACTCCTTTTTAAGAAACTCTGAAAAAATTCCCTGATCCATAAAAGATTAATTCTAAATGAATTCAATTCACTTTCTGGCTCTACCACTTCTACTGTCATGAAATTTCTTTTATATTTTACCTTACTTCAGCCATCGCAATATTGACAGTGGCACCTGGCTTGTGACACTATGTTTTAATTGGAGCACTGACACACTCAAAAATATGTCAAGGTTTTCATGTAAGGAACAGACACTCCTCCAAAGAAAAAGTATATTCAAGAATGTCTTCTAATACAAAAGTCATTTTCAGGGAACAAGGATTTGCTCCATTTCAAAGATCAGAAAGCCAGTGCTGAAAAAGCATTCTGAGGTTTCCAAAGATAACTAAAGCCTGTGACTTCAGCTTCATCCTTAGGAATTAATTTCCTGTGTGATTTTGTATCTGGGACAACCACTCACAGAGGTCTGTGCAAAACTTTAGCAAAAGCAAAATACAACACCTCAGAAGATGTTTTGGTGGACAGAATCGCTTCAGGATCCAGAGTGCCTTCCTGTCTTGTTTGCCTTCATAGGGTAGTCCATTCCTAGTAGAAAATAGTCCTGTCCAGAGTATGGTTTAAAAATGGGGTCTGTACCTTTCTTCTGGGTCTGCATATTATATTTTGAAACACTGATAGAATATGTGTAAAAAAACATGTATATGAAAAAATGAACTGACATGTATATGACATTTACTTTCTCAAATCTCATGAAAAATTTGGAATATTTTCTTAACCAAAGTTCTTTCAATAATGCATAAATCTAGTACTTATTTAAATTATTGCTTTTGAGGAGTTGTGTAAGTTATGATGATATATAATATATACAAGATATATATATATATAGACTGTTAATTGTTTTTAAGTTATTGACTTATATGTTTAGGATAGAAAATGATGGTTTAGGACTATTAAACTGAAAATGTGGGTCATGAGATGTTTCTACTTCCATTTAGCATTTTATAATAAAAAGTGATGACACTAAATCTATATTTAAGCATCAGTTACTCCTGAACACAGCATTTAAAATGTATTATCCAAGTAGAACCTACAGGAACATGATCTGGTGACTCAGAAAAGCTTTCATTCTCTGGGACTAAAGTCAAACACTTTGAATCAGCCAGTGCGGAAGTTGCTTTAACGGGGCATTTTGACAATGTTGGTTATACAGATTCTTATTTCAATTATTTTAAGTGTATATATTTTAGTAAGTAAATGAATCTTAAGAAAGCTTGATAAATGTTTACATCTATGAAATCAGCACCAAAATCAAGATACATATCCAGCACCCAGGAAAGCTCTCCTGTGCCCACTCCTAGTTTATATACTCCAAAAGTTTTGTTTGTTTTTGAACTCGATATGAATGGAATTATAGTTTGTCCTCTTTTGTGCTTGGCCTTCTTTTGCTCAATTTTATTTATGTGAAATTCATCCATGTATTTTCAGAAATCATAAAACTATTATTGCTGAGTTATATCCCATTGTATGAATACATAACATATATTTATCCATTCACATTATGAGGTTTTTTTCCATGTATTTTGGTGCATATGTGTATGCATTTCTCTTGTATATATAGCCAAGTGTGGAATTACTGAATCCTAGAGTGTTTTTTAGCTATACTAGTTGCCAGCAAACAGTTTTCCAAAGTGTTTTTTACCAATTTACCCCTAGCCAACAACGTGCAAGAGTTCCAGTCACTCTAAATCCTTGCCAACACTTGACATTGGCAGTTCTTTTAATTTTAACTATCCTGTTGGTGGTACAGTAATCTCCTACTAAGGTTTGAACTTGCAATCCTGATGACTAATAATGTTAAACACCATTTTATATATTAATTAACAATCTGGATTGCATGCACAACTTTTAATATAAAAAGAATAATAAAGTAAATATTCTTACTTTTCTTCATGGATCTTAGATAAAATAGCTGTCAACTCACAAACTTCACTAAAACCATTCATTATTATCCCAAATTAATAAACGTGAAAGAAAGAAACCAGAATCCCATTTTTAAAAGCCACAGGTCAGCAGTGAGAAAGTACTATAACTGCTGAGCTTCATCTCAAGTAGAGCTTCTCCAATGTTTTGTTTTTTATTCTATGCTAATCAAGTCTAGAGTATGATGTCTGTCACAAATAATCATAGAAACACATTATCATACTAACTAAAGCAATTATGTCTTAAACTATGACAACTGTTAGAACAGTGTAAGGGTTAGAGGTTTAGAATGAGATTTCATAAGATATGTTGAGTGGCATTTTATTTGGTACACATAAATGTTTAATATTTTATGTTTTGGGGTATCAGATCATAACTTCATGTGAATTACTCATAATGTATATGAATATGTTATAGTACAGCAAACCATTTAGAGACATGTACTACTATAAATAAGCATGCATATAAAAAGCTCTTAATAGTTCGTTAAACCTCATAATTTGTTGGAGGCACATAAATGACAAAGACTATCCACATTTCTGAAAGCAAGGTAGAGTCTCTGCAAGAATAAGGCCCTAAATGAGGGGAAAACTCCATACTCTGGCATAAAAAGTAAGGTGGATAGTGGTGTCGAAATCTTGATAGCAATGAACCATGTTGGATGTTGGACTAAAAATGCAGTAATCCTGCACTCCATCAAGAGGTTAGAATCATCCTGGGCAACCAGGCACTTAACATTTGTCCACAAGTGCTATTGGTATGTCACCATTACTGGCTACACATATACAAATATTTCAGTAATATGCTTTTTCCTTAAAATCAGATAAATTTGACTTTAATTGGAGCAATTGAATGATGACACTTTGCAAGGTGAGTTCTGGAGTCAGACTTCAGTTTGGGTTTTTGATGCGTCTTTTAATAACCATCTCAGACTCCATTTGCTTCGTTGTAATATGGAAGCCAGTAACCACTGTTCCCCCACTTTTCTTGAAGTTGTAAAGAAGTTTACATTAAATAACATTACAGAATAAAAATTACTAGAATAATAATACCAGACATTTTCTTATCAGATATTTGGAATATATTAGGATACTCGTCTCTCAGAGAAAAGTGGTGAAAAAAATAAATATGTTAAGTCCTTTAAATTGGCCATTGTTAGACAGTTGTTGGTGCTTGACACATTTATGAGGATTCCTTTTACTCTTGTGTGTACTTTTCTATATTCTTGAAATTCTCCAAAATATAAAATTTAAAAAAAAGAAAAAAAAAAAAACTTCTTTAAAAGTAAAGCAGGCCGGGTGTGGTGGCTCACATCTGTAATCCCAGCACTTTCGGAGGCCAAGGCGGGAGGATCATGAGGTCAGGAGTTTGAGACCAGCCTGGGCAACATAGTGAAACCCTGTCTCTACTAAAAATACAAAAATTAGCCCGGCATGGTGGCACGTGCCTGTAGTCCCAGCTACTCGGGAGGCTGAGGCAGGAGAATCGCTTGAACCTGGGAGGCAGAGGTTGTGGTGAGCCTAGATCACACCACTGCACTCCAGCCTGGGCAACAGAGTGAGACTTCATCTCAAAAAAAAACAACAAGAAAAAAGTAAAACAGTACATAAAAGTTAATAACAACATCAACAACCATCAACTCACTTAAACAATGGGCAAACGACTTAAATATACATTTCCCTAAAGAAGACACAATGGCAATAAGCACATGAAAGGATGTTCAACATCACTAATCATTAGGAAGATGCAAATCAAAAGTACAGTAAGTTACCACCTCACACCCACTAAGGTGGCTGCCATAAAAAATGTAAAACAGAAAACAACAAGTGTTGGTGAGGATGTAGAAAAATTAAAACTCTTGTGCACAGTTGGTGGAAATGTAAAAAGATACAGCCACTGTGGAAAGACAGCATGGCAATTCCTTAGAAAAAAATAAAAATAGCATTACCATATGATCCGACAATTCTACTTCTGCGTATTTACCCACAAGAATTGAATGCAGAGTTTCAAAGAGATATTTGTACAGGTGTGTTCATGGCAGCAGTGTTCACAGTAGTAAAACGTGAAAGCAACCCAAGTGTCCATCAGTTGATGAATGGATAAGCAAAATGTGGTATATACATGCAATGGGATATTTTTCACCTTAAAAAGGAAGGGAATTATGACATATGCTACAACATGAATGAACCTGGGGGATATCGTGGTAAATAAAATAAGCCAGACGCAAAAAGACAAATACTGTAGGATTCTACTTAAATGAGGTAGTTAGAGTAGTCAAAATCATAGAGACAGAGAGTATAATGGTGGATGCTAAGGGCTGAGGAAAGACAGAGGTGGGGAATTATTGTTTAATGAGTACAAAGTTTTGGTTTTGGAAGATGACAATAGTTATGGAGATGGATGGTGGTAATGGTTGCACAATATTATGAATGTCTGTAATATCACTGAATTGTACACTTAAAATGATTAGGATGGTCAATTTTATATTTATTATAACAATTAAAAAAGAAATGAAAGGTAAAATAGTATAGAAATATAAAATAAAAATGCTGCAATGTAGTGGTTCTCAATGAATTGTGCCCAAGACTATGGGATCGGTTTGAAAGGTAAATTCCTGGGTTCCACTCCAGATCAACTGAATTAGAAACTTTGAGGGTGGCAGCAGCCGGTGGTCTGCATTTTAACGTGTCTTCCTGGTGATTCTGATGTACCACTAAAATGTGAGTACCACTCATATAATGAAAATAGCATTGGTCTAAAACAGAAGAGATATTGATTTTAGTTCAAGATTAACTGGTTTCGTGACCTTGGCCAAGCCAGTTACCTTCTCTAAGCACAGTTTCCTCATCTGCAAATGAGGTCTGGATTATATGACCTCTTGGGCCCTGTCTATTCAGCCTTCCAGGGTGACTCTGATACACACAACTTAGGTAAGGGAATGTGGTCTCTGAGAAACTACTCTTCAGCGTTTGACTCTACAAACTGCTATGTTAGCAGTTTGTCTTTATAACTGTTTGTGTAAAGACACAAACAGTTGTGTCTTTATTAATGGAGTCTTTGTATATATGGATGAGGGTTCATTTTCAACTCCAAATATAGTTCTAAAATGTAAATATTGGTTCATACATAGGAAAGTATTACAGGTTTTTCATTACAAAAGGCATTGGTGTCTGGATTTTACTATTAAGCTTTGATGAATTGGGTTTATGCACTTGTTTTTTATAATTATGCATTCTATTAGATACAGATTGGTGACTTATAATTTTATATGAAGCACATTGAAGAAATGTATACTTAAGCTCTTAGTTATAGCTATTTATTGGTAAAATCTTAGTATGAATTTAAATAGTGTTTTTTTTTTTTTTTTGAGACGGAGTCTCGCTCTGTCGCCCAGGCTGGAGTGCAGTGGCGGGATCTCGGCTCACTGCAAGCTCCTCCTCCCGGGTTCACGCCATTCTCCTGCCTCAGCCTCCCAAGTAGCTGGGACTACAGGCGCCCGCAACCACGCCCGGCTAATTTTTTGTATTTTTAGTAGAGACGGGGTTTCACCATTTTAGCCGGGATGGTCTCGATCTCCTGACCTCGTGATCCGCCCGCCTTGGCCTCCCAAAGTGCTGGGATTACAGGCGTGAGCCACCGCGCCCGGCCTAAATAGTGTTTTTAAATGACTTTTAAACATAAAAGCTTGTTGGATATTTGTGCAAGCCTGCCACATACCTCTTTTTCACAAAATCATGTTACACATTCACAGTATTATAAAATTTTGGCCACTCTAAGTTATTCTTAGGGAGCAGAGCACATGAACTGGGGAGCAGGAGCTAAAGAATCATTTCTATGAAACCCTATCATTAATTGCTGGCACCTTTTGGGGCTGAGCACTTGAAAATATTACCAAATTTGTGAGGAAAATAAGTCATGTTGGATTTGGAGGGGTGTAAGCAAAGGCAATATACAGAAATGGAAGAAAAAGCGAGGAGTTTGTTTTCTACTCAGATGTGACTGAGCTACCTTTACTGTCATTTCACATAACCCCACAGATGCCGACAGCACTTTTGGAACCTGGGGGCC
This sequence comes from Homo sapiens, assembly GCF_000001405.40. Taxonomy (NCBI): domain Eukaryota; kingdom Metazoa; phylum Chordata; class Mammalia; order Primates; family Hominidae; genus Homo; species Homo sapiens. The sequence continues at coordinate 35,417,540 of NC_000023.11, read as the reverse complement.
ACAAGATTGGCTCTCAGAGTTGTTCCTTACTCATTTCAGTCACTATTAAGATCAAGATAGTGGGAGACAAGGAAAGTGCCATGCTTTTGGGCCCTCAGGGTTCAGAGACTGCAATATCCAGGACTAAGAAAAAGGGTTAATACATAGTAACTCTTCACAGGAAGCACCTTCCATCTCATAGTGGTCTATTATTTGCAGGTTTCAAGGGTCTTGTGGATAACGGGGGTACTTAACTTTAAATAACTGAAAACATTATTATTTTTTAAATTCCTAAATAATTTGGCAGCAGTAAGCTGGAATGAAACTGCATAAAGAGCAAATGTGAGACTTGAAATGTTGCATAGATGGGGATTTAAAACAAAAGCACAGACAGGTATTTATTTGTGCCTCAAAGCAAGTTGAATCCCCTTGGATGCACAAAGTAGCAAAATAACAAGTCTAGGTGTTTAGCACAGTTAGGATCTCTGGGTGGGCATTATTATTTAAGGAAGAAATTAAAAGGAAAAAGCAATGGAGTGTGAAAATAATCTGATCTTTATTTTGTTCCCATTTTTGCTGACTGTGTAGGAATGGAAAGAGGGCCATCAAAAACTTAATCTAATCCTGACACATGTAAGCCTATTTTATTTGATTTATAGAAATTGGAAAGGTTTAATATAAAACAATCAACCCCTACTCTGCCTGGTGACCCTTAATTGTTTACACTTAAAGAACATAGCAGAGCAGGAGATTTCTAGTTTCATCTAAGATGGAGAAGCCTCTCCTTCTTCCAGGTCCTCCCTCTTATAACTACAGCCCTAAATATAACACAACAGATAAACAAGCATAAGAAGACTCTGGCCGGCAGAAAGAAGTTGGGTTGCCTAGGCACCTTTGGACTTGAAGAACGACATAACAATGAGTTTCCTGTGTTTTCTTATCACTTCGATATGTCACAAACAGCGTACTACAGAATCTCCAACCCCAAATCACCAAAAGTCACAGAAAAAATAAACTTGTTTTCTGTAGCCGAAGATCTGGAAAATGGGTGCTTAATAATAGAAATCTATTTTAGCAATGGCTGCCCTACTCCAGCCAAACAAATGGAACAGTGGAAAAGCTGTACCCCTCCCCCTCAGTTCCAGTGGAGCCAAGCACTAGCCGATTCTCAGTAACATCTATTGGGCCGGGTGCGGTGGCTCACGCCTGTAATCCCAGCACTTTGGGAGGCTGAGGCGGGTGGACAACGAGGTCAGGAGATCGAGACCATCCTGGCTAATATGGGGAAACCGTGTCTCTACTAAAAAAAATACAAAAATTAGACGGGAGTGGTGGCAGGCACCTGTAGTCCCAGCTACTGGGGAGGCTGAGGCAGGAGAATGGCATGAACCCAGGAGGCGGAGCTTTCAGTGAGCCGAGGTTGCGCCACTGCACTCCCAGCCTGGGCGACAGAGAGAGACTCCGTCTCAAAAAAACAAAAAAACAAAACAAAAAAAAAACAGAAAAAGAGGATAATGAGTTAAATTGTTTCTAGTATCGCAACTCAAATTCTAAGTTCTCTTGGCACATTTTGAACAAAGCCCAAGATTCTTATGTGTGGATCATTTTCAGTTAGGTGTGAGCTTTCAACTCACAGGAAACTTGACTGCATAAAATCAATTGCAGAAGCAGAATAAAAAAATATGAGATGTTACATATCGACTCAGAAGGGATTTTCAAAGGCCCTTGGGTTTAGAGTCATTTGAGGTTTAATTGTCTCTGACAATCTCAGCAATCGAAGAAAACTGTTTGAATAGTGTTCAATTCAATCCTTCCTGACTTTGTTGACCATGACTAAAGATTACTGGATGAAATGTCAAAATTATATTCATGAAGGCAGGAATGTATATTGATCATGGTTCACAGTTAGGAAAACATTACTGTTTACCTTAAATATAACAGGGTAGGCTGGGATAAAAGTATAAACATCATAATAAATGAAAAGTTCAGACAAAATGCATGTGATCCTTATATGTAAGAAAAGCTACATATACTCCCTGCCCAGAGACTATAATAAGAAATTTAGAGCAAGATTTTCCTGTGCGCTGTTTTAGAGGGCAAAATAGTCAATTGTTTAGGGGTCAAAAGTCAAATTCTCAATCTGTGTAAATTTGGCATTTAGTAAATATTGTACATTTAACAAATTTACTGACCACATGCTAAATATCCAGGCTATTCTAGGAGATGTGGATCTATTAGTAAACGAAGCAGACAAAACCCTCATCTCATGAGGCTTTTATTCAGGCTTTTATTGAGATCCAGACAATAAATAATAAAGATAATAACTAATCTATGTAGCATGCTAGAGGGTGCTAAGTATAATTAAACAACAATAACAAGAGCACAGTGGGAACAAATGGATGTGTCAGGTGTAGACAGTCAGTTGCAATTAAAAGGGGTGATCAAGGTAGGCCTGGTAGTAAAGGTAAATTTTGCAGAAAGATAGGAACGAGGTGAGAAAAGAAGTTACCTAGATGCCTGAGATAAAAAGTCTTCAAAAAAAACAATCCCATCAAAAAGTGGGCAAAGGATAAGAACAGACACTTCTCAAAAGAAGACATTTATGCAGCCAACAGACACATGAAAAAATGCTCATCATCACTGGTCATCAGAGAAATGCAAATCTAAACCACAGTGAGATACTATCTCCCACCAGTTAGAATGACAATCATTAAAAAGTCACCAAACAACAGATGTTGGAGAGTACGTGGAGAAATAGGAAGGCTTTTACACTGTTGGTGGGAGTGTAAATTAGTTCAACCATTGTGGAAGTCAGTGCGGCGATTCCTTAAGGATCTAGAACTGGAAATACCATTTGACCCAGCCATCCCATTACTGGGTGTATACCCAAAGGATTATAAATCATGCTGCTATAAAGACACATGCACACATATGTTTATTGCAACAGTATTCACAATAGCAAAGACTTGGAACCAATGCAAATGTCCATCAATGATAGACTGGATTAAGAAAATGTGGCACATATACACCATGGAATACTATGCAGCCATAAAAATGGATGAGTTCATGTCCTTTGCAGGGACATGGATGGAGCTGGAAACCATCATTCTCAGCAAACTATCACAAGGACAGAAAACCAAACACTGCATGTTTTCACTCATAGGTGGGAATTGAACAATGAGAACACTTGGACACAGGGAGGGGAACATCACACACCAGGGGGTGGGGGGCTTGGGGAGGGATAGCATTAGAAGAAATAAATACCTAATGTAAATGACGGCTTCATGGGTGCAGCAAACCAACATGACACATGTATACATATGTATCAAACCTGCACATTGTGCACATGTACCCTAGAACTTAAAGTATATAAAAAAAAAAAGTCTTCCAAGCTGAAGAAATCTCTGAGCAAAGTTCCCAAGGTAGGAGAGTACATGGTGTGTTCCAATAACAACACAGAAGCCAGGACAGAGAGAGTGGAGTGAAAAAGAGGAAGGAGAAAAAGACGAAGTCAGAGCTGTAACAGAGTGCCACACCAAGTAAGGACGTAGGCTTTTATCCAGAGTGGACTAGACAGGCATTGGAGGATTTAAGCAGAGTGACGTGATCCCAGTTAGTTCTAAATGGATACATCTTGCTGTTTTATGGTGGTTTAGATGAGATGTGTGAAAGAAAGAGAGAAGTCAAGAGTAAGGTTTTTGTCCTGAAAAACTGAAATAATAATTGCCCTCAACAGACATTGTGAATGGAGCAGATTTGGGATAAATATTTTTTATAGAGTTCAAATTTAGACGTACTCAACTTAAATTTCATGTTAAGCATAAAAGTAGAATTACTGAATGTAAAATTTGGATATACTTTTGAAGTATGAAGTCCAGCACAGAGTTCAAAGCTAGGATATGCATTTCAGTGTAGTAAGCAATTAGATAATATTTGAAGTCATGGGAGTTTTTACCAAGCTTGTAAGGAAGGGACCTAGGACTGAACATTGGGAAACTCCAAGGTTTAAGGGCAGCAAGAAGAGGAAGAAAGAGAAAAGGAAGTTGAAAAGGATTACAACAAAAGAATAACATGCTCTGGAAGACAAATGGGCAATATTTCAAGGAAAAGGGAGGGATCACTTCCATTAAAAACTGCTGAGAGGCAAATTTAGAAGACTGAATTGCTAGATCCTAGGGTAGTTCTATTTTTAATACTCTGAGAAACCTCCATGCTGTTTTCTATATTGGCTGTACCAATTTAGATTCCAATTTACAGTGTACTAGTGTTCCGCTTTCTTCATATCCTCACCAACGCTTGTTATCTTTTGTATTTTTGACAATAGCCATTCTAACAGGTGTGAGGTAGTATCTCATTGTGGTTTTGATTTGCATTTCCCTGATTATTAGTGATTCTGATAACCTTTTCATGCACCTGTTGCCCATTTATGTCTTCTTTTAAGAAATGTCTGTTCATGTATTCTGTCCATTTTTAGCTGGGTTATTTGTTTGTTTTCTGCTACTGAGTTTTATAAATGCCTTACTTGTTTTTAATATGAACTCCTTTTCCATATGCATGGTTTGCAAATATTTTCTATTTTATTTTAAGTTTCAGAATACATGTGCAGGTTTGTTACATAGGTAAACGTGTGCCATAGTGGTTTCCTGTACCTATCAACCCATCACCTAGGTATTCAACCCGTCACCAGGTATTTAAGCCCAGCATCCATGAGCTATTTTTCCTGATGCTCTCCCTACCCCCACCCCACCCCCAAAGACAGGCCCCAGTATGTTGTTCCTCTCCCTGTGTCCTTGTGTTCTCATTCTTTAGCTCCCACTTATGAGTGAGAACATGCAGTGTTTGGATTTCTGTTCCTGCATTTGTTTGCTGAGGATAATGGCTTCCAGCTCCATCCAGGTCCCTGCAAATGACATGATCTCATTTCTTTTCATGGCTGCATAATATTCCATGGTATATATGTACCACATTTTCTTTATCCATTCTATTATTGATGGGAATTTTGGTTGATTCCATGTCTTTTCTATTGTGAATCATGCTGCAATAAACATAATCCATGCATGTATCATTATAATAGAATGATTTATATTCCTTTGGGTATATAGCCAGTAATGGGATTGCTGGGTCAAATGGTATTTCGGCTTTTAGGTCTTTGAGGAATGGCCACATTGTCTTCCACAATGGTTGAACTAATTTACATTCCCACCAACAGTGTAAGAGCATTCCTATTTCTCCACAGCCTCGCCAGCATCTGTTGTTTCTTGACTTTTTAATAATCACCATTCTGACTGGCATGAGATGGTATATCATTGTGGTTTTGCTTTGCATTTCTCTAATCATCAGTGATGTTGAGCTTTTTTTCATGTGTTTGTTGGCTGCATAAATGTCCTCTTTTGGGAAGTGTGTGTTCATGTCCTTTGCACACTTTTTAATGGGGCTGTTTGTTTTTCTCTTGTATATTTGTTTACATTCCTTGTAGATGCTGCATATTAGACCTTTGTCAGATAGATTGCAAAAATTTTCTCCCATTCTGTAGGTTGTCTGTTCACTCTGATGATAGTTTCTTTTGCTGTGCAGAAGCTCTTTAATTAGGTCCCATTTGTCAATTTTGGTTTGCAAATATTTTCTCCCATTCCATAGATTACTCTGTTGATTTCTTCTTTGGCTGTGCAGGCACTTTTTAGTTTAATGCCATCCCATTTGTCTATTTCTGCTTTTGTTGCCGGTGGTTTTCATATCATATTTTATAAGTCATTGCCCAGATCAAAGTCAAGAAACTTTTTCACTACATTTTCTTCTAGTAGTTTAACAGTTCCATTTAAGTCTTTAATCCATTTTGAGTTGGTTTTTGTGTACATTGTGAGATAAAGGTGCAATTTCATTCTTTTGCATGTGGATATCTAGTTTTCCTAACATCATTTCTAAGAGAATATTATTTCTTCATGTGTTTTTGGCACCTTTGTCAAAGCTCAATTTAGTGTAAATATGTGTATTTATTTCTGTTCTCTCTATTCTGTTTGTTCCATTGGACAGAGATACCTGCACTCTTTTTTTTTTCTTTTTTTCTTTTTTTTGAGAAGGAGTCTTGCTCTGTCACCCAGGCTGGAGTGCAGTGGCTGCAAGCTCAGCCTCTCAGGTTCACGCGTTCTCCTGCCTCAGCCTCCCCAGCAGCTGGGACTACAGGTGCACACCGCCACGCCCAGCTAATTTTTTTGTATTTTTAGTAGAGATGGGGTTTCACCATGTTAGCCAGGATGGTCTCGATCTCCTGACCTCATGATCCGCCTGCCTTGGCCTCCCAAAGTGCTGGGATTACAGGTGTGAGCCACTGCGCCTGGCCGATATCTGCACTCTTAAGTTCACTGCAGCATTATTCACAATACCCAAATACGGAAACAACCTAAATGTCATTTGAAGGATGAATGGATAAAGAAAATAAAGAAATATTATCAAACCTTCAGAAAAAGGAAGTCCTGCTATTTTTGACAACATGGAGGTACCTGGATAACATTATATTAAGTGAAATAAACTGGACACAGAAAGACAGATACTGCATGATCTCACGTATAAGTGGAATATAAAATAGTCAAACTCATAAAAGCTGTGAATAGAATGGTGGTTACCAGGGGTAGTGGGGAGAGAAAAATCAGGAGATGTTGCTCAAATGGTACAAAGCTTTAGTTATTCATGATAAGTGAGTTCTAGAAATCTAATGTACAGCAAGGGGGTTACAGTTCACAATATTGTTTAGTGGAAATTTTTAAAGAGTGAAGATCTTAAGTGTCCTCACCACAAAAAATGTTAACTATGTTAGGTGATAGATATGTTCATTAGCTTCACTGTAATGATCTTTCAAAATGTATACATATATCAAAACACCAAGTTGTACAACTTAAATATATAGTTCTTATTTGTCAGTTACACCTTGATAAAGATGAAAAGTTTTTAAAAATGAAGAAAGTTGAGAATTGTTTGCTGGATGCAGCAAGTGGAGGTCAGTGGTGACGTTGATGAGAACCATTTCAGAGGAGTAGTGAGGGAGAGAGGTGTAGACGAGACTGAAGAGAGAACTGGCCGAGACAAAGTAGCGGCAGAATGGACAATAATTTTGAAGAATTGTGCTACAAATAGGAACAAAGAAATTAGGTAGTGGCTGTGAGGCAAGATATAATTTTAAGATGAGATTAGGCCTGGCGCAGTGGCTCACATCTGTAATCCCAGCACTTTGGGAGGCCAAGGTGGGCGGATCACCTGAGTTTGGGAGTTTGAGACCAGCCTGACCAACATAGAGAAACCCCGTCTCTACTAAAAGTACAAAATTAGACGGGTGTGGTGGCACATACCTGTAATCCTAGCTACTCAGGAGGCTGAGGCAGGAGAATCGCTTGAACCCGGGAGGTGGAGGTTGCAGTGAGCCGAAATCATGCCATTGCACTCCAGCCTGGGTAAGAAGAGCGAAACTCTTTCTCAAAAAAAAAAAAAAAGATGAAATTAATAATATACATTTGTAAATATAATGGGAATTATCCCGTTGAAAGATAAAAAAAAATGATGATATGGGAGAGAAGATAAAGTTGCTGGAATAATAGCCTCAAGTAGGAGAAAGGGAATGGGATCTACTGATGAAGGTGGAGATATTGGCTATGAACAGCAGCACAGAAAGTTTATCTATAGCCATATAAGTTAAGGCAGAGTGCAAGAACACAGATGCTGGCAGGGAGAAGATTTAGTAGTACAAGGTTCTAGAATTTCTCAGTCAGTAAGTAGAAAGCAAGGTCAACCTCCAAAAATTAGAACAAGGTGCTTGGAAATGTAAGGAGCTAAAAAGGTGTGAAACTGTCACCTGAGAACCTGAGGGCCAAGGGAAGCCTGATGCACATATCAAAGCTTCAGAGTATCAGCCAAAAGCAAACACAGTTTCTAATTTACTCTTAACTTACCTCCCTTAGGGATAGGAATGATTAGGGTCAATTTAGTTGTTTTTTCTTCTCTCTCTCAATAATGTATTTTGTAGTTTTCTTAGCGCATTCGAACTATTGCAGGTTGAGTATCTCTTATCCAAAATGCTTGGGACCTGAAGTGTTTCGGATTTTGGATAACTTTTTGGAGGGATTTTGGATAACTTTTTGGGGGGATTTTGGGATATTTGCACATACATAATGAGATATCTTGAGGATAGGACCCACATCAAGACACAAAATTTATTTTTATATGCATCTTATACAAATCTTCTGAATGTAATTTTATACAAAACTTTTAATAATTTTGTGCATAAAAGAAAATTTCTTTCATTGAAATATCAGAAAGCAAAAGTGTCACTATCTCAGTCACTCATGTGTACAGTCTGTGATTGTTTAGCATCACCATCATCATTCCTGACTCTGAATTTACATGCTACCCATAAGCAATCATTTTCTTACACTTACTGATACATAAGTACTTACCGATACATACATAAAAAATATGACATACCCTTAGTATAGTGAAAATATAATGTGTTCAGGGTAGCTAAGCAGCGTAATAGCATCCTCAGTATAGTTGTATCAGTTGTTTAAAAACTGCAACAACAAACAATGGCAGGCCTTCAGACTCCACCTACAATGCTGTTTTGAGCAAAATGTTATTGTACACTGTATTTTCGTTTTTTAGATGAGAAGAAACATCAGAAGCAGTTGAGGGACCAGGAATTGTATCCTCTAGGGATGAGGAGACATTCTGCTATATGGCTTTTAAAAATGTTTCCTCCAGAGTCATTGGCCTTATTTAACAAGGTTTTTGTCTTAGAAGTCTCTCTCGGATTTTTATAAAGTGATATGATTTTGCACTTTGTTATGAATGCACATGGATCTCGTCCTTCAATAAGCTAATCACACATATTCACCATGTCATGTACAGGCACTTTTTTCTGCAGTGTTAACCATGTCATCTTCATCATTGTGCACCTGCATTTTGACCATGACCCACCACATGAGATCAGGTGTGGAACTTTCCACCTGTGGGGCCAAGTAGGTGTTCATAAAGTTTTGAAGTTTGGAGCATTTAGCAATTATGGATGCTCAACCTGTATAACATAAATTACTGAAAACTCTTGAGCTACTCAATGGCCTCCCTCCCACTATTACTGACAGATAAAAGATAGGTATTAGTTTTAAGCACAAAGCAGTGAGGAGGACAACTAAGATCATGGAATCTGGACCAGATTGCCTAAGTTATGACCCTGACTCTACTTCATATTAGCCATGAGTCTATGGGCAGCTTCTCTGGATCGTTTTTTTTTTTTTTTTTGTAAGCTGACAATTACTGTGGATTCTTGGTATGAAGGATGTTCTATATAAGTCATAGTTATTATTAATGCAAGCTTAATTTTTCATCTTGTGTGTCCCCATACAAGACTGACCCTAACCTTGCTCTTTTATGTAACATCAGCATTATATGAACACAGCCATAGGCTCCAGAGACCTTAGAAATTATCTAACTCAGTATCTTCATTTCACAGACATTTCAGCTGAAGTCCAGAGACAGGATATAAATTGGTCAAAGATATAAGGCTAATTAGTATTTATACCTCATATTATACCCAGTTTTCTGACTTTCATCAGGGTAAGTCTATTTCTTCTTGATATTTACAAATCTTCAGTTCCCTCTTCCCCTATTAATATTGTTGATCTTTTCCCAAATAGTGCTGGCTTCCTCTCAACAGCATCTAAAGATGGTGATGGCATTGCTCTGATAAATAATAATAATAAAAATAATAGTTGACATTATACATGGGGACATCCTGAGACAATATCCAATGAGCAGTAGAATCATCTGGGTTATAGGCAGACACATCAGCTAGAAAATAATGAAATAGACACAAGTTATGATTTTCAGGGATCTCTGTGTGTAGATTCTATCCATACATATGTGTCTTCTTTCCTCTTTATATTTATGGTCTAGTCAAGAATCACTACCTTTATCTTGCACCATAGCCTGAACCCTATAACAGTCACATGGTACTTTTCAAACCTATACACTATGTTAGCACACTGTGTGGGTCTGTGTCATTAATTAGATAATGGAATGCTTAAACTTTCAACATTTGGTCAGATTGCAGAATAATTAATCTTTGGTCTCTTTACTTACGGTATCTCCCATGCCTGCAGGGTCAGGAAAAGCTTGAAAAGCGGTGGTGGATGTCATGGAAGGCTGCAAACCAGTCATCCTTTCAGGATTAGCACTTGGTATAAGTCATGTTATGCTAGAACCTGGTTTCCCCTCCTCAGTTTTTCAGGCATAGAAAAGAATGAAATTAATATGCCCAGAGGTGACTATTCAATTTGCAGTAGATTTACACTAAATAACATGAAACTAGTATGTTAAAGAGAAACTTACTTATTCATGTTAATAAAGAATAGTTTTCCCCAGATACCATCATGTCTAATAAAGTAAAAGAGGCATGTGTTAATCCCCTATCCATAGCTTCATTTTCCACTCTCCAGGCATTTTGGAAACCGAATAATACATCAGTTTGCTTTGTGACACAAACTGAGAATGAGATAAGCAACACAATTTAAGGGGATTTATGCCTAACATCTGGAAAGGTCCAGGAAATTGCCTTATCCTAGAATATAGTCACAATCATTCAACACAAGTTGATTGAGCATCTGTGAAACATCAAGTACTATCATAGGCCAGATATATGCCCATTTGAAGATCACATTTTTCTAGAGGTGGTAGGTGTGGGCAGACATATTAGAAACACTAAATATAATAAATTTGAAGGTAATATGTGATATGAAAAACAGTAAAAATTGGAGCAGGGTAAAGAAGATAGGGTAGCGTTAAGGGGAATTAAGTAATCAGGGATAACCTCATTGAGAAGGTGATATTTAAGCAAAGATTTGGAAAGGAATTCTGGGAATAGAGAATCCAGACAGAGCAAATAGCTTAAAAATGGGCCCCAAGGCAGTAGCATGTCTGGTGAGTCAGAGGAATATCCAGGAGGTAGATGTGGCTGCAACATGATGAGTGAGAAGTAATAGAAGAGGTTATTAGAGAGGCGATGACTATTCAGATCTTAGAGAGTTATGGAGATCATTGAAACAACTTTGACTTTGACTCTGAGTGGGAGAGAGAGTCATTAGAGTGTTGCTAATAAAAGGGTGATATCTGACTCTTAGAAAATAATGCTGCCATTTGTATTGAGGACAACTAGGGAGCAAACATGAAAGTAGAGATATCAACATCTCTGTCCCTTGGCAATGCTGAATGTTCACTGACAAATATTACTCTTCCTGACATTATTTTTACTTAGTGGATTTCTTTTGTTTTATTAGACATGCTGATTTTACTAGTTAAGACACATTCAAAAGAATGTTTCTATCAGTCATGAAAACATGCTTTTCCCCCAATTTTATATCTATTTAAATGGTCCCACTCTAAATATTGAAGACTGAATTTGAGAAAAATTTTCAATATATGGTATCTGTGGTTAGGCATCGTGGCTCATGCCTGTAATCCCTGCATTTTGGGAGGCCAAGGTGGGTGGATTGCTTGGGTCCAGGAGTTTGAGACCAGCCTGGGCAACATAGTGAGATCCTGTCTCTACGAAAAATAAAAAAATTAGCCAGTCATGGTGGTGCACCCCTGCAGTCCCAACTACTCGGGAGGCTGAGGTGGGAAGATCATCTGAGCCCAGAGAGGTCAGGGGTATAGTGAGCCAGGATCAAGCCACTGCACTCCAGCCTGGGTGAAAGAGTGAGACCCTGTCTCAAAAAAAAAAAAAAAATATACACACACACACACACACACACACACACACACACACACACATATATTGATATATGTATTCATATATATATGTATGTATATATATATAAAATAGGCCAGGTATGGTGGTTCACGCCTGTAATCCCAGCAATTTGGGAAGTCAAGGCAGGTGGATCACTTGAGGTCAGGAGTTGGAGACCAGCCTGGCCAACATCGTGAAACCCCGTCTCTACTAAAAATACAAAAAATTAGCAGGGCGTGGTGGTGTGTGCCTGTAATCCCAGCTACTCGGCAGGCTGAGGCAGGAGAATCGCTTGAACCTAGGAGGCAGAGGTTGCAGTGAGCCAAGACTGCGCCACTGCACTCCAGCCTGGGCGACAGAGTGAGTCTCCGTCTCATAAATAAATAAAGACCAAGCACGGTGGCTCCCAGGACTTTTGGAGGTGGAGGCGGGTGGATCACTTGAGGTCAGGAGTTAGAGACCAGCCTGGTCAACATGGTGAAACCCCATCTCTACTAAAAATACAAAAATTAGCTAGGTGTGGTGGCATGTGCCTGTAGTCCCAGCTACTCAGGAGGCTGAGGCAGGAGAATTGCTTGAACCAGGGAGGCAGAGGTTGCAGTGAGCCGAGATCACGGCTGCTGCACTCCAGCCTGGGCGACTGAGCGAGACTCTGCCTCAAAATAAATAAATAAATAAATACTTTATACATATACAAAATATATATAATAATATATATTTACACACATACATACATACATATGGTATTTGTTGTCCTACACCCTCCAAACCATCTTCTCAGTCACCCTAGCTCTCTTTTCACTGCCTTCCTCTCCACTGAGCCAAGTAGAGCCTCACAATCCACTGTTACTCAATGCTCTGACACTAACTACCAATAAGTTGATTTGGACAAGCAAGATAAATTTATTTTCTCTCCACAGGGTTGAGTATTTTTGTAGTGTCCTATATAAGAATCTGTATATGTAGTTCATAAACTGGGGAGAATTCTTTCCTTTTTTCAAACTTTATTGAAGTATAACTGAAAAATAAACATCGTATCTATTTAAGGTATACAAAGGGATGTTTTATTGTTTCCTGCCTTCTGCTAACTTTGGGTTTAGTTTGTTTTTCTTCCTTCAGTTTCTTAAACTGTAAAGTTAGCTTTTTTATTTGAGATCTCCATAGATAATGCATGGATTGGTAATAGTTCCATTGTAGATCCCTTTCTGCACTAAATGTTACTTAACATTGGTCCTCAAAGGCCATTTAGCTGATGATGTTATATGCAGTTTTAAACATTTATTGTCTTATTACCTGTATGTTCATCTGTTCTCTAGCCCTGTGTATGATCTAAACCACTCATGAATTGTGATTTAATTTTGTCTTCAGGCAGAATATAAAGTATGACTTTAAAAATTCCCTCCACCACAAAGGATCATTTCATTTCTCCTTATTTTGGAAGGAGCAAAGTGTGGTTTCTTGTGCAGGGGCCAAGCAGAAACAGCAAGTGACTTTATGATACTGCTTTGTCAACCAACAGTGTTGTCTATTGCCTTCAAAAACACTTATTTGATAAGGCATTTCAATTCACAGTGCTGATTACAACAAAGGCAGAGCAAGGTATGTGAGAGATAGAGTCACTCTTCATTCCTTTTATAAAGCAAGTTAATTGAAAGTGGAAATTGTTCTAGGCCCAGAAATAACAAAGGAGAGCAGGGTGAGAGTCAGGATGTTTTAGAGAAGGATTGTCTCTCTTATTGTTTGATCATTCCTAGTTAATTGTACTTCATTTTTTAAAATGTATTCTTTGGTTTCCACTAATCCCCTGATGACCTCCATCAGTGACCATCAGCTATTTCTTATTCTATGCATTTACCCACTGACACCTGAATGCATAAGTTTGAGGTTTGACTCATTGCTTTCCTTTTTTGACCCCACATATGCACCCACTGCTTTATTGTTCATCAGATACCTGGCCTCTTCCTTCCCCCTCTCTTTAGTTCACATGTGGGCCTGAACCACAGAAGTTCCAGCTTTTATTTTTAATTGCCCTACACAGAGTCAGCTTCTAACTTCTCCACTCAGGCCATACTTAATAAGGTTCAGAGCAAACTCAACTTTTCTTCCTATTCTCATCTTTTCTAACCTATTCCTCCCTCATTTTGCCCTGGTCCTCCAAATCTGCAGCCACAAATTTGTAGAAGTTTTTTAAGAAAAGTAAAACAAGTCATGAAAGTCCTACATCCCTGGAATATGACAATGGCTATCTGTAAAAGGGGAGAGCCTTTCCTTCTCTGAAGTTAGGAGATAGACAAACAAGAACAGATAAAATTCTTTTTGATAAAATACTTATATCTTAAAGTAATTGTAGATGAAAATTTCCAATAATAATATGGAGATCTGAGCTTCTCCTCTGACATAAACATAAGGCAGTAATGTAGAGTTAACACACGTGTCTCTGATCATGCAATACCCTAGCATTTCATGGTGAAATGGAGGGAGGCTGGTACATAAGGAAGGTGAACAGATTGAGAAGTTTGTCACAAACTAGATAAACTGTCTTCATCATAGATATTATTATGTGAATTCTAGGATATTAATAAGTAATTAAGTCAAATTCAAAAGTGCAAATCATGGGATGTTTTATTGAATGTTACAGATACATTATCTCATTTTCTTTCAATCTCTTTTGTCTTTTCTTTGGAGAATGTTGGCTTAAAAGGCAAAATAGAATCAATATTTAGCATTTAAAATAATTTCTTTGAGAATTGTAGAAAGGACAGTTGGCATGATGGATTGTAGACATATGTAATACTTATGCCCAAAAGTTATGCAGACGGAAGATATGAATACATTCAAGCATGGCTTAAATAAATTTCAAATCACCAGCCCATAATGGGAAAATAGGGCAAGCTAATAAATCTTTTATTTGTGAGAATAATATTATGAACAGGACTATCATCCTCCTAAGACAAGTCCTTTTCCTCAGAAAAACACTGGGGCCAGATGGCCTATAGGTAAAAATTGATACAGCATTTTAATGTCTGTTTTGTTTATCTATTGCTGCATAACCAACTACTCTAAAACAATGGATGACAAAACAGTTGTTTTAATATTCCTCACAGTTTTATGGGTTGACTGGAACTCAGATGGGCAGTTTCTTTTGCTATTCTCACTTGACACGTCTTGTGCTGTTGTAGTCACATTGTGACTTAGAACGTCCAAGATGTTTCACTCCCAGGTCTGGCTTCTTGGGTTTATGTGGAAGTTGGAAGGCTAGGTTCAGCTGAGACATCAACATACCTGAATCTCTCTCTCTCTCTCTCACATTCTCTCTTTTCCTCTTTCTCTCTCTCCTTTCTTTCCTCTATAGTACTAGTGCTCCTACCCCTCCACATGACTTCTCCACCAAGTCTCTCCGTATGGTCTCTCCAGCAGGACTCCTGCTCAGGGTGTCCACAATAAGAAGAGCAGAAGTCCCCCAACTTTCCAATTGCTCTTTAGTCTTAGGCTCAGAACTTGAAGAGCATCACTTTTGCCACTTTCTACTAGTTAAGTAAAATACAGAAACAGCCATGATTCAAGCAGAGGAGACTACCAAGGGTGTGAATTCACTGGGGAAATTCAACTTTACAGATTACCTTAATGTTCATGTTAAGTCTCTGAGGACTGCTGTGCTGACTCTTTTATACTGTCCTCTTTGGAGATCTCATCCACTTCTGTAAGTTATCTATCACCACTTGGGGATGTATCTCGGTTTTTCCCCCTAGTGATATATTACCAGCTCCCTGCAAATAATTGGTGATTGAATACCAATTATGGTCTAGGTACTTCAGATAAATTATTTCTAATTTATTGACAGCACTGGATCTAACTCTTGAGAAAAATGAGGCTTAGAGAAGCTTAGTTTACAAGAGACATATGACTAGTAAGGGACAGAACTATGACTAAAACCCAGGCATATCTTTGTGTAAAACCCTCACATGTTTTTTCCAAGGCCCCACACTATTTGGTCTATTTTGTAACTTAGGCTTAGCTGTGTGATTTTAATCAAGATAATCAGCTTCCTAACATCAGTTTTCTCATCTATAAAGTTGGGATAATAGTATGTAACCTGGGGAAGTTAACATGTAACCTGGGGAAGTTGTTTTGAGGAGAAGTAATGTATAATAAAACTTAATACTGTGTTTGACTTTGTGACTATTATTAGTTAATAGCAAAACCAAGAGAAGTGTTAATATTTTCTGAGTCTGTTGCATTATTCTACCTCTTTACCCTTATTCATTAACCCCCCAAATACTGGTTTTTTATTCCAACTTTTATTTTAGGTTCAGGGGCTATATGTGCAAGTTTGTTACAGCAGTATATAGTGTGATGCTGAGGTTTGGGATACGATTGAACCCATCACGCAGGTAGTGAGCATAGTACCTAACAGGTTGCTTTTCAACTCCTAGCCCCTCTTTTTTTTTTTGGTTTCATATGAATTTTAAAATAGTATGTTTTTTCTAATTCTGTGAAAAAATGACATTGGTAGTTTAATAGGAATAGTTTTCAATCTGTAGATTGGTTTGGGCAGTATGGCCATTTTAACAATATTGATTCAACTAATACTGATGATTAAATGAGCCCCTATGCCATATCAAACACTGTGCTAGAAAACAGAGAATCAGTTATTAATAAAGTGGAGACTGCTTATGCCCTTAGTGGACTTATATTCTATAGGGAAATGTAGGGATCAAACAAATAATTACAAAAATAAATATTTACAATTGGTGATAGTGCTATGAGGGAGTGCAGACTGTATCAGGAAGCCATCCTATCTGGTGAAGGCAGAGGGTAAGAATAGCCTTCTTGTTGATGAGACCTGTAGTATGAGAAGGATTTACCTGACAAAAAGTAGGGGAAGAAAGTTCCAGGCACATAGAACATATGTGTTGCTTTGATGCCAGGAAGATTTGGTATCTTTATTAAATCAAAAGGGGAAATAGTGATTGAAGCATACTGATTGCAAGGTAAAAAGAAGGCAAGGGAGAGGTCAGAGAGGTGGTGAGAAGTCAGGTCATGATGAAGTTCTGTATCAATTGTAAATTTTATCTCATGGCTTCATCACCCATTTGAATGCCAAAAATGTTTCAACATCCACAAGAGACTCTTCCACTTGGAAGGTTTTCCATACTCTTGTCCTTCTGTGGATCTCTCCTTCCTCTGGGTGCCCACATCACTGATGGTTTTCTTATCATTTATTTGATATTGCAATGTCTTGCCATATGCATCTCCAGATACTGAATTATCTAGTTGTGTGTGTCATATCTCTACAACCTGTATTTAAAACTTTTTCAGCTAAAATACTGTGTCTCCTACTTTGAATAACAAACCATTTCTTTTATTGAACTTTTTATGTTTTCCTACTAACATGGTTGGCATGAGCCAGACACTTTTCCAAGTGCTTTCTTGTATTAAATTAACTCATTGCATTCTCACAACAGCCCTATTAGGTCAATACTATTTCTTCCACCATTTTTATGACCAATAAGACTGAGGTCCAGAGCCAGGTGTGGTGGCTCATGCCTGTAATCCTAACACTTTGGGAGGCTGAGGCAGGAGGATCACTTCAGGCCAGGAGTTTGAGACAAGCCTGAGAAACATAGGAAGACCCTCTCTCCACAAGAGAATAAAAAAATAAAAAATAAGTTAGCTGGGAATGGTGGTGCACACCTGTAATCCTAGCTACTTTGGAGGCTGAGGTTCAAGGATCTCTAGATCCCAGGAGTTGGAGGCTGCCATGAGGTATGATTTCACCACTGCACTTCAGGTTGGGCAATAGAGCAAGACTGTGTCTCAAAAACAAATAAAGACAAAAACTGAGGCCCAGAGAGATTACATAATTAGCATAAATTCACACAACTGGTAAGGGAAGATACCAGGATGCAATTTCAGACAACATAGACACATGGTTTTTACTTCTTCTTCCAGGATATGAAGTTAAGGTTTACATAGATTAAAATATATACCAATATTACAACTAATAGTATGAAGAGTGATATGGTTTGGCTGTCTCCCCACCCAAATCTCATCTTGAATTGTAGTTCTTATAATCCTCACATGTGAGGAGAACCCAGTGGGAGGTAATTGAATCATGGGTGTGGCTACATCCATGCTGTTCTCATGAGAGTGAGTGAGTTCTCATGAGATCTGATGGTTTTATAAGGGGCTTTTCCCCTTTTGCTTGGAACTTCTCCTTGCTGCTGCTATGTGAAGAAGAACGTGTTTGTTTCCCCTTCTGCCATGATTATAAGTTTCCTGAGGCCTCTCCAGCCCTGCAGAACTGTGAGACAATTAAACCTCTTTCCTTTATAAATTACCCAGTCTCTGGTGTTTCTTCATATCAGCAAGAGAAGAGACGAATACAATAAATTGGTACCAGATAGTGGGGTGCTGCTGTAAAAATACCCAAAAATGTGGTAGCAACTTTGGAACGGGGTAACAGGCAGAAGTTGGAACAGTTTGGAGGACTCAGAAGAAGACAGGAAAATGTGGGAAACTTTGGAGCTTCCTAGAGGCTTGGAGGGCTCAGAAGACAGGAAGATTTGGGAAAGTTTGGAACTTCCTAGAGACTTGTTGAATGGCTTTGACCAAAATGCTGATAGTGATATGGACAATGAAGTCCAGGTTGAGATGGTCTTAGATGCAAATGAAGAACTTGTTGGGAACTGGAGTAAAGGTCACTCTTGCTATGGAAAGAGACTGGAAGCATTTTGCCTCTGCCCTAGAGATCTGTGGAACTTTGAAGTTGAGAGAGATGATTTAGGGTATCTGGCAGAATAAATTTCTAAGCAGCAAAGCATTCAATAGGAGGCACAGCATAAAAATTTGAAAAATTTGCAGCCTGACAATGTGATAGAAAAGAAACACCCATCTTCTAGGGAGGAATTCAAGTCTGCTGCAGAAATTTGCATAAGTAACTTGGAGCCAAATGTTAATCTCAAAGACAATGGGGAAAATGTCTCCAGGGCATGTCAGAGACCTTCATGGCAGCCTCTCCCATCACAGGCCCAGAGGCCTAGGAAGGAAAAATGGCTTTGTGGGCTGGGCCCAGGGCTCCCCTTGCCATGTGCAGCTTTGGGACTTGGTGCCCTGTGTCCCAGCTGCTCCAGCTGTGGCGAAAAGGGGCCAATGTACAGTTCAGGCCATTGCTTCAGAGGGTGAAAGCCCCAAGCCTTGGCAGCTTCCACATGGTGTTGGGCCTGTGGGTGCACAGACGTCAAGAATTGAGGTTTGGGAACCTCTGCCTAGATTTCAGAGGATGTATGGAAAGGTCTGGAGGCAGAAGTTTGCTGCAGGGGTTCTCATGGAGAACCTCTGCTAGGGCAGTGCAGAAGGGAAATGTGGGGTCAGAGCCCCCACACAGAGTTCTCACTGGGACACTGCCTAGTGGAGCTGTGAGAAAAGGGCCACCACCCTCCAGACCCCAGAATGATAGATCCACTGACAGTTTGCACTGTGTTCCTGGAAAAGCTGCAGGCACTCAATGCTGGCCCATGTAAGCAGCCAGGAGGCGGGGGCTGTACCCTGCAAAGTCACAGGGTTGGAGCTGCCCAAGACCATGGGAACCTACCTCTTGCATCAGTGTGACCTGGATGTGAGACATGGAGTGAAAGGAGATCATTTTGGAGCTTTAAGATTTGATTGTCCCACTGGATTTTGGAATTGCATAGGGCCTGTAACCTCTTCATTTTGGCCAATTTCTCCCATTTGGAATAGGTGTATTTACCCAATGTCTGTAACCCCATTGTATCTAGGAAGTAACTAACTTGCTTTTGATTTTACAGGCTCATAAGCGAAAGGCACTTGCCTTGTCTCAGATGAGACTCTGGACTTGGACTTTTGGGTTAATGCCAGAATGAGTTAAGACCTTGGGGGACTGTTGCAAAGGCATGATTGTGTTTTGAAATGTGAGAACATGTGATTTGGGAGGGGTCAGGAGCAGAATGACATGGTTTGGCTGTGTCCCCACCCAAATGTCATCTTGAATTGTAGTTCCCATAATTCCCATGTGTCATGGAAGGGACCCTGTGGGAGGTAATTGAATCATGGGGACGGTTACCTGCATGCTGTTCTTGTGATACTGAGTGAGTTCTCGTGTGATCTGATGGTTTTATAAGGGGCTTTTCTCTTTTTGCTCGGCACTTCTCCTTGCTGCCACCATGTGAATAAAGATGTGTTTGCTTCCCCTTCTGCAATGATTGTAAGTTTCCTGAGGCCTCCCCAGCCTTGTGGAATTGTGAGGCAATTAAACTTCTTTCCTTTATAAATTACCCAGTCTCAGGTATTTCTTCATAGCAGCGTGAGAATGGACTAATACAAAGAGGTTGATTATTACCTCAGAAATTTAAACCCCAGAGCTTGAGTCTCTTGCTGCACACTTAATAATGTCTGGGACAATAATATCCATATAGATGTTGCCTATTAAGAGTTGATAAATGATTGGTATGTTTTTGAATACCAGGTGGTTGGTAGAACACAGCCCCTACTTGCAGTGTCAATTTCACAGCTGGACCAGCAAAGAGGATCTATACCCACATGATACCTATATGCCCTGTGGTTCTGTGCCCTTTGTGTGAGAGCAATGTGAAGTCCAGTCAAAACTACCTTCTGAACACAGAGACTTAACTGTTTTGCCATTTTATTGGTTCATTCTGCATCATGTTATGAGCCACATTCATCTTGACCAAAGAAATTTGAAATTGGAATGATTTATTTTTTGTCAGTCTGTCAGTTACCATGTTTATAAAATGTCTTTACAGGTCTAATGAGTGTTTCCTCTACTTGTATTACCCTACTATTTTTACTGTTACATCCTCAACAATGAGAAAGGTGCCTAGTAACTGATCTTGTAACTGATCACAGGATTGAAATAAACATTCTACCTCTTGCTTTTGCTATGGATTTGTGGTAGGCAATGCCTTATGTTTGTGTATTTCTACCATTGATATGACAGTCTTTCTTGCCTCACTGTTACTCATTCCTAAAATCATAAAATGGTAAGGAGGAGAGAAGAGCCAAAATTATTATTTTTGAATCAAATTGATCATCAGATGGAAAAAAATAGAATGTATTATCTTTTGTTTATGTATGTTTGTGTATATGCATGCACATGTGCACATATGTACGTATTTGACACACAGTAATTGTAGGTCTCCGTGTGTGTGTGTGTGTGTGTGTGTGTGTGTGTGTGTGTGTATTCTGAGATAAAAAAGGATCCATATCTTCTACTTTGTTTATAAACAAAGTAGGGGTAAGGTATTATTTCTCCTCAATCCAACTTTTATTGACCAAGAAACACAGGCTTGTCCAGAGATCACTCTGCTATACATTATAGAACTTGCCTTCTTTGGGGAAAAATTTTCCCTGATATAAGGAGAAGGGCATTGTGTGTATCTGGTAATAGTTGAATAGGATTTTGTCTCTCAGGAGAAGGTGAATCTTGACTAAACTCTTTTGTTGCCTCCATTTTGATTTTTACATTCAGGAAGTAAATGTCAAAGCTACTGTTCTTTTTTTTTATTGACAATTTCTGAGAGTTCACATTATTTAAATTCATGGGGCACTTTTTTTTTAGATTTTTGATTAAATATAAAGACTTCAAGTAAAAAATATTTCATTAGACAGTACATCGATAATTCATTTCCCAGGCAGTGAAAAACAAGTCATGATGAAGCAGTCGGCCTCAGACTACAAAGGCAGCTTGTTGGGAGACAATATTTCAAGGGACTCTCATGTGTCTGTATATCTCGTGAGCAAAAACATTGTCTTTCTTCTTACTATTTCTTCAGGAATGCTTGCATAGTGAATAACCTTGGAAAATAGAGGTAGTGTTTTACATTGGATCAAAAGACAATATATTACTCTACAATAAAGACAGTGCTTTCATCTGGATCAAAGGGCAGGCATGCTTACTGCTCATTATAAAAAAAGATTCACATACCCTATGTTCGAAGCTGCTTCTCTGAAATGCAACCCACTGTATAGGCAGGCGTTTCTTTGGGCTCATCTGTGTTGTCCTTGTAGAACTTGAGCCAGAAGAACTGTCATAAATATTCTGATGATTATGCTGTCAATTGTGCTGTGAGTAATAAAGTTCTTATCTCTGACCAAAATGTCTAGCTTTGAAATAGTAATAGGCTAGCTTATTAGCTTTTAAGCAAGGTAATTTCTGACACCCTACCTGATCAGTATTGACACAGCCACATTGGGGACTCCACTGCAAGGCTTAAATAGAAACATATTTGTGATGTAGAGTTTTCACTTTAGTGTGCTCCTCTCTGCTCCCCCAAAAAATTTATTACTAAACGTGAACTCAAAATCTATATCATATAAAATTCTATTAAAGATTTATTTATAACAATGTTGAATTATTACTTGATCCCAAGTATTAAACTTAAGAATAAGGTATAATTTGAGCAACAGATTTCCTGATAAAACTTAAATTAGTCAAGGTCTAGGTTATAATATATTCATATTGAAATAACAGGAATAAATAATTCAAAGGCATAGAGGGGAGATTAACAAAACGATAATCAATAGACATAAATCATACACACATTTCATTTTGGCAAATTCAACTTTATGGTTTTAGGAAACAGAGAATGAAAGTAAGAGTGAGAGGTGCTAATATGAGAGAGAGAGAGAGAGAGAGGAGGTTATTTCAAATACTATCTCAATCAGTGTGCGTACATCCTACCGAAAAAATAAGGTGAGAAACATGAGTTGGCTCAACATTGTTATAACAATGCTGTTACGTTGACTCGTCCTAGTTCAGGCATACCTTCCTTAAAGTGAGTAGCTATTTGTGTTGAGTAAAATTCTATTGTTTAAAGATATGCATTTTTCATATATGACTTCTAAAAGCAAGTCATTAACTTCATCTGGTGTTTAATAAAGCAACAACATGCTCACATGGTTAAAAATTATATATTGAACCTTTTAGGTATTTTTTTTTTTGTTCCCTAATGTGTCACTGTTCTAAGAATTTTTCAATTGTAATTTTGATTTAATATGATGACTTTTTAAAATAACTTTCCAAATGCGTTCTCCTCAGCATAAGATATAGATCCATGCCTGTATGCATTAGAAATTACCATGACAAATGCCACCCTAACCATCTCAAGTAGAAAGAAATTTAATATAGAGACTTAAGAGTATTAATCACTACAAGTGCTGTAGAAGTAAAAGGCATTGAAAGAACACTTTCGGTTTTCATGGGATCTGGAAATGCAGGAATCACAGAAAAGCCACTGATGATGGTCATGGCTGCCTATTGAACTAAAGTAAGTAATTAATAGCAGTTAATTTTAGGTTTACTGCAAATTCATATTTGCAGTTTCTCAAGACTGCCTATAATGCTGCTAGAGAATACTAGCTTGACCTTCTCTTCCACTTTCCAAATATCATACTGATTCTTCTTATTGACACAATTTTGCCCTAAATTCTGTTTTCAGTGGAGTCTCAGAATTATAGTTTTGAATCTTCCTCCTGTGTTGAAGAAGCAAGTGTAAATCAGTATGTGGATTATGTCAATTTGAACCAGTCAATCTGGCATGGGCTACTCTTTAGTCAATTCAATATACATGTACACTCTTTTGCCTATGTTTAACTTTCAAATGAAAAAAATAGCAATAGATCCTGTTTCACATAACATGATGTGACTATTTCTGATGTAAAGAAGATGCTGGCAGGACACAGTGGCTCACGCCTGTAATCCCAGCACTTTGGGAGGCCGAGGCGGGTGGATCACCCGAGGTCGGGAGTTCGAGACCAGCCTGGCCAACATAGTGAAACCCCGTCTCTACTAAAAATACAAAAAATTAGCCGGGTGTGGTGTCGTGTGCCTGTAATCCCAGCTACTCAGGAGGCTGAGGCAGGAGAATCCCTTGAACCTGGGAGGTGGAGGTTGCAGTGAGCTGAGATCGCGGCTGCTGCACTCAATCCTGGGCGACTGAGTGAAACTCTGTCTCAGAAAAAAAAAAAAAAAAAAAAAAAAGAAGCTGTCACTTTCTACCCCTGAAATAAAATCCTAACCTCCCAACAAACTTTATCCATTTATCCATTAATGGGTGATGTTTATTCCTTCTCTACTTGTCACAAACACTCTTTGATCATTTTAAATTTTAAGATGATATAAGTTTATCTACAATTAATTATAGAACATAGTAGACAAAGAATATAGAGAACATAGGTTTATTATTCTTTCTTTGTTACATATATGGAATAGCATATATTTGAATATAAACATAATATTTTATATATATGCACAGTGGATATATATTATATGTAACGAAGTAAGCAGAATAAAACATGCTTAAATCTAAAGTGTTGATTTCTGTATGTCACAATACAATAGTTGGCATTAATAACTTAATTCTTCCACTACTTAGTCACTATTTCTCTTGCTCTTAACTTGATCATTGTTGTTTAACTAGAGATGTGAACCAAAACCTTTATTCCTAAAGTGTCAAAATCCTTGCAGCTCCTGCCTTCATTGAATTGCTATGCCTTCCATCAACTTTCACCATTAGACCCAGAATTACACAGAAGTCTTCTAGAAAATCACTTGATTTTCATACTTATTACAAGTCCACATTGATCCCACTGTCTAGCAGCCACTCTATTGTCTGTTAATAATCAGGATCAATTAACAAAGCAAGTAGAATATTTTTGTTTTCCTATTAACTGGCACCCTGAATCATAAATAGAACAGGTGTTAATTTCAGCTTTATCTTTATTGGAAGGATTCTTGTGGCCCTTGTGGAAGTATTAGGTTTGCGTCAACCTAATATTTCTTTTAGGGGGGGATTAACACTGTACACCAGGAAAGACCAAAGTTGTTGAGACTAGAACCAACATTTGTATGCGTGTGTTATGACTGGTAATAATACCTCTTGGTACAATGCCTTGTGTATTCTGGCTACAAAACAAATGGCACTATATATTGATCATTGTTTCAGAGCACATACTGAGCCTTTAAGTGCAGATTCCCAAACTCACAAAGTATCGTCAACCAAAGGCATCATACTAAACCTTCAATAAGCTATTTTGCAGTTTGGCCTATTCTATGTTGTGGTACATGGTAAAATCAGTGAATGAACAGGATGAAATCCATTTATTTCATTTTCTGTGAAATAAATTTGTATAATGTATGTGTGGATACTATTTATGATAAATGAGGGATTCTGTAAGTCCATTGATGGTGATATCAGTAAAAGCATTTTGAACAGAAAAGGCAAATCCATATTCAGAGTAAGTGTCTATCCATAAGAGGACAACTCACTGCTCCGTTAGTGATGTAAGAAATTTTTTATAATTGACCTGCCTGGTAGGTCATTACCCTCTGTGTCACAATAATGCCATGTTACGTTTTGGGTGTTTGTCTCTGTTACTGGCAGGTTGGACACTCAGAAGTGAGAGTAGAAAATTAGTAGAAAATTTTAGAAGTTGTGACTTACTTATAGTAAATGAAGTGTCAGGGAAAGTCTTCTTCTCATATTCAGGTCTTCTGAAATCTTTATTATTGCTTACATCACTTATATAAAGCTGTGTCCCCATCAGTTACAAAAAGTTGTGAATAAACGTTTGCATACTTTTTCCCACTCATACACAAGGAAATTTGCAAACAAAAATCTCCTTTACAATTGTACAGGTAGATTATTTCATCCAAGTTCAAATGGCTGGATCTTCTGGCTGTCTTATATTGAAAGCCAGAAACTAGTTTCAAAATAGAAAATGTGAAATGTGCCTCAAAATAGACAAATTTCAATTGATATAATGTTGGTATTGGAAAAATAATTTATGAATAATAATATTAAGCAATCCCATAGCACTTAAACTGTTGTAAAATCTTCACACATGTAGACTCATTTAATCACTATAACAACCTGAGAAGGTGAGTATCAAATCATACCCATTACACAGATGGTGAAACTAAGGTAAAGTGAATAAATTACTTGTCAGAGGTCACACAGCTACAATCGGATAAACTGGGGATTCAAATATAGGCATTTTACTTATAAAGTACATGATTCTGTCCTCTTAACTATATGACTCACACTCAACCCACACTGACACCTTCTTGATAACATCATTTTATACTTTCATAATTAATATGCCTGCTATTTTGCATTGAAATCTCTCTAGAAGAAAAATCTGAACACTCGCATGTTGAAAAAGGGTTGAACTAATTTTATCCTAATTTAAGTCTTGACACTTTTTTTTTACATGAAGTATTGCTATCATTTTGTTTTTTTCACCATTATGGCTCAAAAAAAAAACCTCTGATTTTATTTTGGCAGTGTTGAAGTTCTTTATTGATGAGTTAATTAGATATAGTTTCAAATAGAATTGTTAATTATATGCCCAAATTTCCTGATTCATCTAGAGATTTAATAATCCTATCAAAAAAGAAAACTTTGTGCTATTTTAATTGTATATCCACTCTAATGTGTTTCACATATGTCCTTATATATGTGTAGCATCTTGCAAAATATTTTGTGGTGTGTGTGTGTGCATGCACACTTATGAGTTTAAGCTTGGACATGAGTAATATGAAGTTCTTGTACAGGCATTCAGATGCAGGTGACACCAAACAAGTAGATACACAGGTCTGATCCTCAGAAGAGAGATCTAGTTAGACTCGATATTGGGGAGTCATCAGCTTTCAGGTGATGGTAGGAGATGAGACGCAAATGTAGACTGCCAAAATATATGCATGCTTGAAACTCATATAATGGGTTGAAATGGTATCGTAAATGCTCTGTGCTGAAGCAGATTCTGTATTTGGAGGATGAGATGAGCTAAAGCGAGTGCAAATAAGATCTAAGAGTGAATCTGAGTCACAGAAGAGGAAAGATAACAGGAATTAGGGCTGAAGAGTTGATATCAAGCATCAGACTGAATGGGCTATATCAAGGTCTTAAACAGAAGATGGTAATAAAGTAGATTGTTCAAGAAAAAGTGTGAAATGATGGAAGAATTTCTTAAAAAAAACCAAGGAAATAGGTGGAACATGGAGATAAGTAGGCATTTTTAAAATGTTTTTTTGTTTTGTTTTTAATATGTGAC
Source organism: Homo sapiens (assembly GCF_000001405.40). Taxonomy (NCBI): domain Eukaryota; kingdom Metazoa; phylum Chordata; class Mammalia; order Primates; family Hominidae; genus Homo; species Homo sapiens. The sequence continues at coordinate 35,390,698 of NC_000023.11, read as the reverse complement.
ACTGAGAGTAAAGGGTAAATGGGCAACTGGTTGAGAATACAGTGAAGAAATAATATTGAGCTGAAATTCCTGAAGAGACAAGAGCGGTGAATCCAAATCACAGATGGATGAACTAATCTTGGACAGAAAATAAAGTTTACATTCTGGAGAAAAAAACTAAACTAAATTCATTATTCCAGTAAATTCCCTTACCATTTCCCCAATGATCAAACCAGAAACTAGGGAGTGGATATTGTGTCTTTCTGTTCCCTTCTTTCCTATACCTAAACAGTCACCATATCTAGACTATTCTACTATGTAATCGTAAACTTGAAATCAAATGTGTTTTCTTTACATTTATTTTCCACTTCCTCAGTTATTAGTACTGGCTCTCATCAATTGCCATCTGAAATTCTGCATATGTTATCACCTGTTCCTTCATCATTTATTCTCTCATGTTCAAAAAGGAGATTTCCAAAATACAAATGTGGTCATGTGATCTCTATGCTTACAAATTCATCCATGGCACCCCATGACATATAGAATAAATTCAATTTCCCAGTATGACCTACATAACCTTTCATGAGCTGGCACTTGCTAGTCCTAGACTCATCTTTTTACACCCCAGAACCCCTTGTTCCCTTTGTTCTAGCCCTCTGCAGCACCTTCTTGTTTCCTGAATACTCCCGATTCTCTGATCATCCAATGTTTGCACTTGCTGCTGTCACTGCACAGGTGCCTAGCACCACAGAGAAACTCATAGGATGGATCCACTTATTGCTTAAGCAAAATGAATGATCCTTCATTTTTGGATCTGGACCTATATAGGGATTAGGCTTACAGGGACATATAGGGAATAATAATAATAGGAATATAGCTGGGGAGACAAGAGAATGTCTTCTCACTTTCTTATGTAGAAACTTACTGCAAGTGTCTTCTTGGAAGTCTTCATTGATTTCCTCCACACTTGGTTATGCCTTGGGGCCTCTCCTGAGAGGTTTGCCTTACCCTCTACTTTTATCTTGACAAGCAGGTACTATAGTTATCTTTTTGCTTATCTGTTTCCAGCTAGATTATTCATTCCTTATGTATCCCTATGATTCCAGTCTCTATAGAGGTAGAGACTAAGGGTTATTCATTGTGCTAAAGTAATAAGTCAGCTCATCCTTTGATTTTATCTGTTGTTTTAGTACAATTGACCATCTTTTGCGTTATTAATACATTTTTCCCCAGAAAGTGATACCGGACATCACCTGGTCCATTCCTTCATATTTTAAAATGGAACTATATCTAGAGAGGTTATATCATTTACCCAATGCCAATCTCTGCATGTATATAAATTTTGGTATATTCACTTGATACTAGCTCTTCTATACCAGAAGAATTGGTATTCTTAGCTCACTCAGCAGTTACAGCTGCAGGAGCACAGCAGCCTACAGTTACAGTTCTCTGTTTCAAAAGTGTTTCTCCAAGAACCTCTGCATGGGACTTAGCCTGTGGCAGGGTAGATGGGAATGGAATTCACCATATATTCTGCTATGTTATTATATGTGAATTCAATATGATTATATTTAAAAACCCTTTAGCCTTAAAATGGGTACAAACTAGGTTCTCATTGTATCTTATTTTTCTCTTTCATGCTGTCATGCTTCTGCCCTTGAATACTGAGTCTGATGCCATGAATAATTATTGTTCTTACTGTTAATACTTGATAAAGGAGAATGCATTTACTATGTACTCAAGACAGTGATTTGGCCTAACTTCTCTTGTCTCAACTTTCCAACTTGCCATCACATATATTTTGCTATACAAATACCATCGTAGTTTCAATTCATTCAAAACTCCATGGCTTTGTATAACAATATAATTTTATAAATGCAATTCTCTCTGCCAGAAATACCCTTTATCTTTGTCTTCCTGATGGTCTGGAACTTCTATACTCAGCAACAACCTCACCTTCTCTGTGAAAAATTTCCTGAATACTCCTCCCCCAAGGACTTAGTCTCCCTCCTTTGCACTCCTGCTTGCCTCATGCATTCCCAACTCTCCCAGTAAATTGTAAGACCCTTTGGCTGAAACATAACATCTCCCTCATCTATCCTTGTCTCCTGTGCCTATAATGGTTATCAGTGCTCAACAGACATGTTTTTAAAGAATTTTCATTGATTAATTATTAAAAGTAAAATATCTCTGATTTAAAGACTGAAACAAATCATGATACTGTACAAACATTTACAATAGTGAAAGTATACAATGTATGAAGAAAACACAGTGTTCACCAGTAACTCAGTGCCTTGAGTCAAGAAAGGTAAAATATTTAAAGTAATTTTGTGTGCAACACAGTTCCATGCGGGAGGGTGATGAATGGATCAATTAGCACTAAAATAATACCAGTTTAGAGCCACAATGTAATTAGGCTTATGAGTGAGATATTATTTTCATCACCACATTACAGATAAATGAACTGAGACCCAAACTCACACTGCTAGTAAATGATAGAAAAAAAAGCTTGAACAGGGATTTCTTTGACTGTGGAATAATACCCAAATATCCTAGTGTAACTGCTTCATGGGTTCTTCCTGCCCACTGCACAAATAAAGAGCACAGCATTGCAATAAAGAAAGAGTTTAATTGACGTGAGGTCCACCATGCTACGTGGGAGATGGAATGATCACTCAAATCAATCTCCATGAAGGCTCCATAGGTTAGCGGTTTTTCAAAGGCAGTTTGGAGAATGGGTGGGTGTGGCCAGGTAATAAGTGCTTGCACCTGATTGGTTGGGTCAGAGATGAAATCATGGGGAGTTGAAGCTGTCCTCTTGCACTGAGTTGCTTCCCAGTGAGGTCATAGGAGCCATAGATTGGTGGGTCCAGGTGGAGTCATGGGTGTCAAACATGCAAAAAACTTGAAAAGATATCTCAAAAGGTCAATCTACATTCGTGGTGTTATCTGCAGGATTTCCAGAATAATGACTGGTAATTGTTTATGTCTACACCTTAGCAGAATTCAGGCTCCTCTCCTCCCCCTGGCCTCGTGGTCTCTCCTAAGCTTTATAAAAGTGGTTGAGTTTTGCAGTAGGGCTATTATTGTTTACACTATACCTAAATGTCTCCCGAAGTTAGCTCTGCCTAAGCCCAGGGATAATTAAGGCAGCTTGGAAACTAAAGGCAAGAGGGGGTTGGGATAGATCATATCTCCCCTACTACTGTCATTTTCTCACTGACATAATGTTTGCAAAGGTAGTTTCACTAGCTCCTAAAGGAACTTTCTCCAAAAATATCAAAGGAATATTAAATGAAATAAACAGGGAAGCCAAGTTCAATTAAAAAATTATTTTTTATAAGTTGAGAAAATGTATCGTGATGGGTCAGTTCACTTAGCAAAATACTCCATTCTAATTAAGTATATACATTTTGAAATAACAATGAATATTTCATAATTTGTTCACTTGTATCATTCAGAATTTTGCTGAAACAAATATAAACAATGAACTATCCATATTGTTTAATTCTGAGTTTTTTTTTCCTCTTACCATAAGTTTCCATGTAAGGACTCTGACTGGACCATAAACCCTAGTGGGTCTGCCCTCTCTCTGGGCAGTGCTCCTCTCATGCCTATTAACATTGTGTCACATGAAGTGAGACCATGAGCAGTGAGAGTTTCTTGTTCTTGTCAGCAGTGATGAATATAATACCCATTGACTAAGTTTGTACATCTGAAAATAGAAATTGGCTTGAAAACTCTATTGAAATCTCAATTTATAACTAAATATGTTGCCAGAAATTTGCTAGTTTTCTGTTTTTCTTCATTTCTGTATAGCTTTATGCAAGTAACCTAATGTATTCAGTGATATAGTTAAAACCAGGAAATGCAATAGCCAATATATGAGCCCAGTACTATTCCCATCTGTTGGAAGTCACACTATCCAAGGTGTCAGCTTTGACAGAATGTTCTCCATAGGATTCTTGTGAACCTTAGTAACTAGTGTATTGATGAAGAACATTGAGAAAACCTCACTCACTGCCTAGAAAATTCCAACAGGTTCTTAATGTCTAACCATATGGCTTTAATGTCACTTTTTGATCTTCTGTGTTCCTGGCCAGAGAGCCCATACTAGCCAGGAAATACCAGTCCTTTACATTCTAGAAATGCTTGATATAAAAATACAGTGGTCCTTTCCAGCTATGGCTGGGTATTAGTGGAGGAAATAAAATCAAACACTGGCAATGGCAAGACCTCAGGTTTTCTAGTCTTGCTCTTGCCATTTGGCAGTAGTGGTAAATCACTTTTGTTTGAACATACTGTGTAAGTTGTTCCCCATGACATTTATTCTCTAAGTCAACATTAATTAGAATGAATGATGTTTTTTCAAATTCTTGGGGCAATGATATAACCAAGTAAGTAAATAGATTATGTTATAGTTCCTGGGAAAGACATAATCAGTAAGCAGTGTGGAGCTCCTTGACCTTTTTGAGTTAAAGAGATATAACTGCTGGAGCTAAACAGGACCAGGAAGAGCTCCCATTCCTATCAGCCAGAGTAGAAATCTTCATAATTCATGGGGTGTTGGATAGAGTATTCAAAAATGTCTTGCCCCAGTTGGGGTTAAAATGAGCTATAAACCAATAGTTCTTTTGGTCCAGCTAAAAACCTTGAAATCAAGGCCTAAATAGATTTTTTTTCAAGTATTTTAATAGCATCCATGATAAAAATCAAAAATACTTACACAAATACAAACATATCTAGCATGTATGCAAAGCAAAAGGCAAATATTACCTGTAATTAGGAGGAAAATTCCTTAATTGAAACAGACTCAGAAACAGCATAGATAATAAAATTAGAAGACAGGCAAAGCCATTATAGCAGTTGTTATATTTCCATTTCATATATGAAATTCCAGAAGACAGATTGATCATTTTAAGAAGAGACATGGAAGATTATAAAAGTCCCAAATTGAACTTCTACATAAAAAGATGAATATGTATGAGATAAAAAAAATACATTGAATAGGAATAACAGGAAATTAGACATTGCAGAAGAAACTATTAATGACCCTAAAGACATAATGATGGACATTATTCAAAGTGAAACACAGAGGGAAAACGAAAGACATAAAAATATAATTGAATAGTGAAACAGCTTTAAGAAACTTAATTTTTGTAAATTTGATGAAAATTATAAACCCGCACATCCAAGAAGTTAAAGCAGTTCTTAGAGGAAAGTTTGTAGCATTAAATGCCTAGCTGATGAAACTATAAAGGTCTCAAGTCAATGACCCATCTTCCAACTTAAAAACTAGAAGAGTTAATAAGCCCAAAGTAATTATAAGAAAGAAAATAACAAAAATCAAAATGAAAATAAATAAAGTATAAGACAGAAAATGAATAGAAAAAAAGTCATTGCAAGTAAAACCAATTTTTTGAGAAGATATATAAAATTGATAAATCTCTAGCCAAAGTTATCAAGAAGAAAAGAGTAAGGGTATAAATTATGAAAGTTAGGAATGAGAGAGTAGACATCACTGTAAATTTGATGAATTGTAAAATGGCATAAATGCATATTAAATACAACTGTATGCCAATAAATTTGACAACTTAGTTGACAATGGGAAAATTCCTTGAAAGACAATATCAAAAGTAATTAAAGAAGACATAGACAACCTAAATATCACTGTATTTAATAAACAGATTTTGTAGTTAGAATCCTTCCCACAAATTGAATTTCAGGGGCAGATGGCTTCAATGGTAAATTTCAGCAAATGTTTTAGGAAGAAACTATACCAATTCTACACAAATTATTCTAGAAAAGAGAAGGTAAGCAAATATTTCACATCATTCTATGAAGTCAGCATTACTATACCAAAACCAGACAGAGAAATTACACATGAAGAGAACCGAAGATCAATATTGCTCACAATTTTAGAAAACTGAATGCACCAACATGTAAGAAGCATAATATATCACAACCATTTAGGACTTCATGACATATTCAAAATTCAAGTATCAGTCAATGTCATTGACCATATTAATAGACTTAAAAATATTATTTCAATAAATAAAGAAAAAGTATTTGAAAAAAATCCAACATCTATTCCTGATTTAAAAAAAAAAAAAAAACTTCCAGAAAACTGGAAATGGAAGGGAACTTCCTCAACCTGATTTTAAAAATTTACTAAAAAGGCTACAGCTAACATCATACTTAATGGTGAAAGACTGAAAAAATAAAAATTATAAAAATGTCACTACTTATGGATAGCATGTACTGAAGAGTTTTAAGGAAACCTAGAAGAATCTTTCTCTCTAAATTACTCTTCACAGATATTCTTAGATATACTTTCTGGAAAAATAAAGTATAGCATTTCATATTTTAAGAAATGATGAAATGAATATGTTTCTTCTAAGATTAAGAACAAGACAATAATGTCCACCCTCACCATTTCTAATAAACATTGTGCTTATAGGTTCTAGCCAAGGCAATCAGGCAAGAAAAAGAAATAAAAAGGCATTCATATCCAAAAAGAAGTAAAACTCATTTAGGTACACACTTAGGATCATGAATTCTGGATCATATGGTAAGACTATGGTTAGCTTTATAAGAAATTGCCAAATTGTCTTCCAAAGTTGCTGTACCATTATGCATTACAACCAGCAAAAGAGTTACAGTTCCTCTTGTTTCACTTTGTTGCCACTAGTTGATGTTGTCAGTGTTTAAGATTTTAGTTCTTTTAATAAACGTATAGTGATAGCATTGTCATTTTAATTTGCAATTCCCTAATGAAGTATGTTGTTGAACATCTTTCATATGCTTAATTGTCATATATATATCTTCTGTAGTGTGGTGTCTTCTTAGAACCCAATTTTAGTAGGGTTGATTGTTTTCTTATTGTTGAGTTTTAAGAGTTATTTATATGTTTTAAGTACAAGTTCTGTATCAAATTTATGTATGGCACATATTTTCTTTCAGTCTGTGTCTTATTATTTCATCCTCTTGACGGGGTCTTTTGCATAACATATTTTTAATTTTAATGAAGTCCAACTAATAATGTGTTTATTAATAGATCATGCGATTAGTGTATGTAAAAACTCAATTCTGAGGTTCCGGTTCAAGATGGCTGAATAGAACCAGATAGTGGGAGCCTCCCACACAGACAGAATTCAAAATAGTGAGTAAATATTAACACTTGAGTAGATCACCTAAGAGGGCACACTGGAATCCATTAAAGAAGTGATAGGAATCATAGAAAGCAGAGAGGAGCAAAGCTGTACAGCCAGCTGAGCTGGGACTGGCATGGAGCCAAGAGAAGATTCCTGATACAGAGAAGTGGTGAGTGAGAGACCCCTGGGGTTCCACAATTCTGCCATGGACTTGTACAATCCTAGCCATGGGAGATCCCCCTCTACTCCTCCCAGGCCTTTAGTCTAATACAGGGTGCTGCCTGGAGACAGTGCATAGGTACTGCTCAAGCCTACCTAGAATTCCGCAGGCTTTGGAATGCTGAGAAGCCTGGTGCCGGCTGCTGCAGCTGGATCAGGGAGGGAGCAGACAGGCCAGACACTTTTGCATGCCCCAAAGACAGATACAACAGCTGCAGTAGAGAGGAGTGGGTGGGCCATGCACTGCAATGACTGCCTGCCTCAGGTGCTCCTTGAAAAATAGGCCTCCCTTCTTCAGCACGGTTCTGCAGTGCAGCTGCCCTGCCCCTGTATGTACATATTGGCTGCAGCCCGATATTCTACTGAAAGCCAGGACCTCTGAAGCCAGTGACCCACCCTTTGGCTCCTATAGCAGTTGCCATCACCACCACCCACCACCACTGCAGCCACTCCTGTCACCCCTGAACCTGGGTTGGGGGAGGAGCAGAAAGGCTGGGCAATTTTGTGTGTCCCCAGCAGCAAAATTTACTGCTGCTCCTGTGGGAGGAAAATTCAAGTGGACCATGCATCCCACAGCTGTCAGCCTCCATTGCTCTAGCTGAGGGGGCCTGATTCCTCCAGTGAAAAGTTAACAGCAAAGCCAGCCTGTTCCCACCTGACCATTTCAGCTGCTGCCCAGAGTCCTTCTGACAGCCCAACCCCCACAGGCCTGTGATCTGCCCTGGGGCTCCCACTATTCTGCCACTGCCTGAGCGTTCTGCCTGCTCCTGCCTGAAAGTTCTGATGGTGACCCATGGATCAGCCCACTCCTTTCAGCCAGCATGTGAATTCTGGGGATCCAAGAACAAGTGTACTGGCCCATTCCTGGTTTAGTCCCCTTAGGACTTGTACATCTTGTACATCCCATCCAGAGGCCTGAGGATGGAAGGTTTGCCTAGCCTAGTCCACCACCGCCAGCATCTGACTACTCCCTGTGGGGCCTGAACTCAGGCCAACCCAACCAGCCAACACACTCAACATCTGACACTCACCTGAATGTGAAACCACTTTTGCAAACATAACTTAGGAAATTATGACAGTGAAAGAAATGAGACCTAACCCACTCCGTCTTGCTTCTAACGTTTAAGCTGTCCTTGTTCATTCCTGGGCATAGAACTAATTTTAAGAAGGAATTCAGTTAATGGTTTGACTCTGAAACAAAATTGATAATAGCCCTTTCCCTAAAAGACCCCCTTCTTGCCTGGGGACCAGTCTACCTTTGCAGGACTAACAAATTAGCCACAAGATTAGAAATTACAGTTTAGGGGTCATGCAGCCTCTGGCTCCAAAAGTCTGAACTTCCCCAGATTGCTCCTGGGGATAACATCACTATTGTAAAACCTAAGATCAGTGCTTGAGATATTTTGCAGACCCTGCACTGGACTGGATCACCTGTCCAGTGGACCACCCAGATTGTAATCTGACTCAACCAGTTCTGCCATTCCACCTAGGAATAGAAAACAGCAAGAAAACCTCACTTCAACCCCCTATGATTCCATCTTCAACCTGACCAACCAGCACTCCACACTTCCCAAGCTCCTACCCGCCAAATTATCTTTAAAAACTCTGATCTCCGAATGCTCCGGGAGACTGATTTGAGTAATAATAAAACTCTGGTCTCCCGCACAGCCAGCTCTGCGTGAATTACTCTTTCTCTATTGCAATTCCCCTGTCTTGATAAATCAGTTCTGTCTAGGCAGCAGACAAGGTGAACCCATTGAGCGGTTACAAATGTGCCAAAAGGTGGATTCCCTCCCCATCCGTACACAAAGCAGCAGCATTACCACATTAGAGAACAAGCAAGCCACAGAGCTATTTGTACTGGTCTGAGTGATGAGGTTCCACCCTAAAATCACTCCTGTGGAGAATCATCAGACAAGCGTCTTCCCTGGCTCTCAGCAGCACTGTGGCCTGGAGATAACAGTGTGCATCTGAACTGAGAGTTACAAGCCCTGGGGCAGGAGTATGATGGAGAAATAGATCAGATTCCTGCCTGTTTAGGAAGTGGAGCTGGTGCAAGCACCTTATTCCCCACAGAAACCTCAGGGCATGTCATCAGGAACTCCCCTAGCCACTCCTATCAGTGTTGGTGTCCATCCTTATCATTGGGGGTATTTGTGAGCAAGCCATGCAGTACAGCTCTTCAAAGCTGTGTCCTCTCCATTTGCTGAACAAGAAGTTCAGGGGATCGGATTTTCCACTGTCCAGCTCATCACTTGAAACAACACAAATGACCATACACTAAACAAAGATCAAGTACCTACCCATCTGCTTTTGCTACAGCTGGCTTTTAGCCATAAGTGCCACCTACTGGCCTGTAGGTCAAACTGCACAGCCCTATAGAAATCTTCACAAGAAAAAATGCCCAGGGATATAAAAGCAAAGCCAAAAGACCCTACATAACATATTCTACAATCACATCCTCAAGGCAGGAAAATCCCATCTAAATGAAAGGAAATTCAAAAATAAGAAGTGACAGCTTCTACAGATGAGGAAGAACAAGCACAAGAACTCCAGCATTACGAAGAAAGAATGTTGTGATACCACCGACGGACCACATTAGCTCTTTAACGATGGATCCTAAACAAAATGAAAACTTTGAAATGATTGAAAAAGAATTCAAAATATATATTTTAAAGACACTCAATGAGATCTAAGAGAAAGTTGAAAACCAACACAAGAAACAAAAAAATTTGGAGAAGAAAAAGGAGATTATTTATTAAAAACCAAAACTACTAGAAATGAATAATTCACAGAAGAAATTTCAAAACACAGTTGGAAGCTTTAACAAGACACTAGACCAAACAGAAGAAAAATTTCACAGATTTAAGACTGGTCTTTGGAATTAACTAAATCAGATAAAAGAATTAAAAAAATTAACAAAGATTTCAAGAAATATGGGATTATGTAAAGTGACCAAAACTTAGACATGTGGACATTCCTGAGGAAGAAGAAGAAAAAGCAAGAAGTTTGGAAAGCATATTTGAGACAATAATTTAAGAAAATTTCTCCAATCTTGCTAGGGATGTGGATATCCAGTTACAATAAATCCAGAAAGCACCTAGAAGATACTATACAAGATGAACATTACCAAGACATGTAATCATCAAACTCTCCAAGGTCAACATGAAAGAACAAATCTTAAAAGCAACTAGAGAGAAGCATCAAATCACGTATAAAGGAAATCCCATCACTTTAACAAGAGACACCTCAGTAGAAATTTTACAAGCCAGAAGACATTAGAGGCCAATTTTTAGGCTTTAAAGAAAAAAAATGCTGGCCAAGTATTTCATATCTTGTCATACTAAGTTTCATAAATGTAGAAATAAAGTCTTTTCAGACAAGCAAACACTATGGGAATTCATCACCACTACATCAAACCTGTAAGAAACGCTCAAAGGAGTTCTAAGCATGGAAATGAAAGACACCACTCCCCAACATAAAAGTAAACATGTAAGTAGAAAACTCACAGATCCTATAAAGCAATTACACAATTGAGAGCCCAGGGCAACTAGCTAACGACACTATGACAGGAACAAAACCTCAGATACCAACATTAACATTGAACGTTGATGGCCTAAATGCTCCACTTAAAATATAAGACTGGCAAGTTGGATAAAAAAACAAGATCTTACCATCTCTTGCCTATAAGAGACCTACATAATAGCTAAAGATATCTACAGACTCAAAGTAAAGGAGTAGGAAAAGATATATCACACAAATGGAAAATGAAAGCAAGCAGCAGTAGCCATTCTTGTATCAGATAAAATAGACTTTAACAACAGTAAAAGAAAAGGAAAGGCATTATATAATGATAATTGGTTCAATACAACAAGATGATTTACCTGTCTTGTCCTAAATATATATGCACCCAACACTGGAGCACCCAGATTCATAAAACAAATACCACTAAATCAAAGAAAAGAGATTGATACCAATATAATAACAGTGGGAGAATTCAACACCCTACTGACAATACTAACAGGTCGTTGAGGCAGAAAGCCAATGAAGAAATTCTGGACATAAGCTGGGCTCCAACCCAAATTGACCCAATAGATATTTACAGAACATTCTACCCAACAACTGCAGAATATTCACTTTTCTTATCTGCACATAAAACATTCTCCAAAATTGAGCATATGCTTGGCCATAAAGCAAATCTCAGTAACTTCAAAAAATCAAAATTATATTAAGTATTTTCTCAGATCACAGTGGAATAAAATTAGAAATGAATACCGAGAGGAATTTACAAAGCTATAGAAATATTTGGAAGCTAAACAACATTCTCCTGAATGACTTTTGGGTAAAGAACAAAATCAAGGCAGAAATTTCTTAAGAAATGAATGAAAATAGAGACACAACATACCCAAACTTTTGGAATGCAGAAAAAAATATTACTAACATGAATGTTTATAACAAATGCCTACATCAGAAAGATATGCATAGAAATGGAAAGCAGGAGATGAGAAGCAGATTTGGAATACACAGAGAGATTTGGGTTTTGATTTCAGGTGTTCTGGGTCAATAAAAAAATTTTCAGATATGGTATACCATGGATTTGGAGTTTAATGATACTCACATGATATTGATTTTACCCACACATCCTCCACATAAAACAAAACAAAATAAAAATATAGGCCGGGCACAGTGGCTCAAGCCTGTAATCCCAGCACTTTGGGAGGCTGAGGCGGGTGGATCATGAGGTCCAGTTTGAGACCAGCCTGGAGACCAGCCTGGCCAATATGGTGAAACCCTGTCTCTACTAAAAATACAAAAGAAAATTAGCTGGGCATGGTGCTGTGCACTTGTAGTCCCAGCTACTGGGGAGACTGAGGAAGAAGAATCGCTTGAACCTAGGAGGTGGAGGTTTCAGTGAGCCGAGATCGCACCACTGCACTCCAGCCTGGGCAACAGAATGAGACTTCGTCTCAAAAGATAAATAAATAAAATAAAATAACATCATCAAGGAGAACAAATAAAACTACACATAATACACGTCTTCAGCATTATTAGAAGACAAAGAATACCATGCACAACAAATTACCTGCAGGTAGAATAATAAAACAAATTCCAGTAGACCTTCCATTGCTAATCACTGCAAGGCTGTGGGTGTGAAGACAAGGGGAGTGAAAATTTAAGGTATTCCATGAAAAAAATTTGAAGGACACAAGAAACTTTGAAAAAATACAGATAAGATTACCCCCTAAAGGAGAAAATTTAACACCTAATGACAAAATACTAAACACAGAGAGGTATTTGTTGGCTTACACAATTGGTCACAAGGAAAAGGTTCAAAATCAAATTTGATCAGAAGTGGAAGCTTCAGAGAAACATTGCTTCAGAAGGATAATTGGATATATAAAGTGTTTTCTACATAGAGTTCAACTTTCTGTTAAGTGTTAAAGCTTTCAAAATTCTTGTTTAATGTATAGGAGCACAGGAAATTCATTCTTTATCAGGAACTCACTCTTGTGATAACCAACACACTCCTATGTTTATGGCATTAATCCATTCCTGAGGGCAGAGCCCTCCCTCATGACCTAACCACCTCTTAAAGGGCCCACGTTTCAACAGTGTTGCTTGGAGGATTAAGTTTCCGTTTCGGGCACATATTCAACCCATAGCATATGCTTTATTACCTCATTAGAAACTTCCTTCCTAGCACTATTTGAAAGATTGGGAGGTGTGTTATATGAATTGTGAATACTGCTCTTCTCATGGTAGCATGGTGCTTTCCAGATTTTGATTCACTTTCTCTGCCTTTAAATGTGGCTACATGCTTTTGTGGAAAGATGCTTAGGAAATGACTTTGAATTAATCCCATCGTGATATCAGCTGAATTTTAGATTTTCTCTCCCTTTCAATCTTTGTACACCTTGAAGAGCTCTGCAAGTTATTGGTGAAGCTGACCAATACATTCTCAAAGATCCTTTCCGTTGCTAATATTCTATACTTTTCTAACTGTTAACTTCTTTTGCTCTTACTTCTTTTTTTTCTTTTTCTGGACCAAATTTACAATCTTTTTATTTACTCAGCCTCAATTTAAAACTCAGTGGACGTGAAAACACCCACTTCATAATGAGCAGCTCTCATCACTTGGTAGCTTGGTGTCCTATGATCAGGTGCTCAGTCTTTGTTAAGATACAATAGCCACACAATTGGTCACTTACTTAAAGAAGATTTTTTTTTTCATTATGTAGAGCAAGGCTGTCCAATAGAACTTTCTGTAATGATAAAAATAGTTTATAGCTACACTGCCCAATATAGTGGCCACTAGTCACATGTGGCTATTGAGCATTTGATATGTAGGTTGTGAGACTGAGGAATTGTATTTTTAATTAATTTAATTAATTTTGTTGAGTGAATTATTTTTGCTTGGTTTTATGATTATTTTAAATTTAAGTGGCCACTGGTGGTCTGTTTTGTGACTCTCTTACTGGGGCCTGCTAGAGACTCTACAACGTATCCTTGACGTGCTAGAATCATTAGCACATATACTGTCACGTCATTAGCACATACACTGCCCAAATCATTAGCACATATACTGCCCAATGTGAATCATTAGCACATATACTGCCCAAAGTGGCAGGGCAGCTTTTATCTCACTCTGCAGTTAATCAGAGCCTTATTTTGCACTGGAAACCACTCAAACTGGCAGACTTCTAATCACCAGAAATATGAATAGCAGTACCCATGAAGTGCTATATACATCCTCAACATGCATGTTATTATATGATGGTGTAGCTCTAATAGGTAGAATACAACGGTTTGGGAATAAAGGTGGGATATAAGATACGCTCATCTCATCATCACGCTAACAGATCCAGTTGTGCAATTTGTCATTACTGTCTCACAATTTTAGGCTCTGACTGGCTGGAAGCCATGATTTTGAGAGGAAACGCTCTATGACATTAACTGTGAAGAGCAAGAATGCTACTGCACAATTAGAACAGGAAGGAATATATGTCTCACCTAGAGGTTTGACTGGGGCATCTCGTAATGTTTACATGCATAGAGATTGGTATAAAATGGGCAATTTTAACAATGCTAGCCCATCAAAGGCAAGATTGCTAAGAGCTTAGCCCTTCAGGATGAATTTCTGGTTCACCCTGCTAGGCAAGCATCCTAAAGAAGAGTAAATGTTTGAAGAGAGTGATAGAAATATGGAATGCTGATGAAGGAGAAAAAAATATTTATTGCAGCCTCAGGAACAAGTACAGCAACAGTCATAAAAGCTTTTATAACTTTTTAGGTGTTTAAAACTGGAAATAATTTGATTTTCATTTCCACTCTCAGTGTGCAATTAGATAGGAGGGGTACAATTGGTTGATCTAGTTTGTGCACCTCCCCAGATTCTCTTGTACCTATATGTATATGTCCCCATCCCTGTTGCCGTTTTAAAGATTTGGGGGAATTTCGCTTTTCTGATGGTTGCCTGAATAATCTCAATATGACCACCTGTAGGTTTACGGAGTTAATGCTTTTTGTGCCAAGCTTGAACCAGTGTGATACAGTAAAGAAGCAGGTTTTGTTAGATAAATTCCACTGCTTTTCTTCTTCCTACATACTAATCCAAGGTGCAATGGCTCCATATAGCCACATGGTCATAGTCCATGGAACAATTATGTTTTCTCCTGAATCTGTGGTCAACTTGATAACATTCTATCTTATATTTGCTTTCTTTCTTGCCTCAATTTTCTTTTATGAATCCTTCCTCCCCTAGAAATTTACACACTCAGTTCATCACCAGTAAAATGTTAGTGTTAATCTTTGCTACAGGGTCTGTTTTCTAAAGAATTTGGACTACAGGGTCTGTTTTCTAAAGAATTTTCTAAAGAATTTGGGTTGTCTATACAAGTAATCCTAAAAAGATGAGCGAGTCATCTTGCCATTAAAAGGAAGAGGAGGCAGATTGTAAGAAAATTGTAAATTGTAAGAAAAATTACAGTAATGTGAGGTGACATGAGGTGCATGAAGCAGAAGCAGAAGCAGAAGGAAATAGAGACATGAATAGCATGAAGATGGGAAATTTGGAATAGGAAATGAAGAGTGTTGTTGACAGAAAGTGGAGAAATGGACTCCTAGAAGACAGCAGGCTGATAGGAATATGTCTTTCTTCTTACCTTTGTAGATTTCTTTAGAATTCTATGCAGATATTTATATCAAGAGTAACACTATTATAACTTCAGATAAAGAAAATGCATGGTATATGATCTTGGCTACTTACTTGTAGAATGAATGAGAAGCTAAGAATATAATATAAGTCAAAGACTATTCAAAGTATCATGTAATGGTCTTGTGGTCCTGACTTGTTTAGGAGTTTTCTTTACAAGTTTGTTTGACTCTGGTTTAGAAACAGCAGTAGATAGACTAATTTCCAGATTTGTATTTAGACCCTCGCCAAGGCAAAAAGTTTTCTAGGGTGTGAGTGTAAACATATGTCAACCTGTTTGTTATATGTTAATATTTCTCAACTTTTACATGCATCAGAATTACCTGGAGGCCTTGTAATAACATATTTTGGCCTATTCTATCCCCAGAGTTTATGATTCAATAGAGTTAGGCTAGAGCTGCACAATCTGCATTTCTGACAAGTTCCTAAGTGATACTGATATTGCTGATCTCAGAAACAAACTGAGAATCACTGTTCTATGTTATTTGGAGGAGTGATGTTACAGCCCAGTTAAAGATATAATTTAAGAACTGTAATGGTCATGGAGAAGTAAGATATTCTGTTGCTGAATTTCCATGGAAGACTGTCACAAGAACAGATTTGCAATTTAGGATGAATCATGTTTTACAATTTTATATTTGAATACAAAAACTCAATTCTCACTTAGTTTATTTGAAAGTTGGAAATAAATTTTTAAAAGTTGTTTTATAAGCAGCTAGCAGTGATGTTGCTATTCTGTTCGTGAAAGAGGCCCATTATATTTTTTTCTACTATGTAAGCATAAAAAATCCAGCTGAGGTCTCTTGACTTTCTCTCATTCAATGCTGGAAAATAATTGCTGACACATGTATATATTTATTATATATTTTCTTAAGATAATTCTGATGCCTAAAGTATCATTCTATCTGTCAAAAATCAAAGAGATATTTAAAAATTGCTATTTGAAATGATTAACTACAGTGATGGCAATTCTACCATAAGGCAGAGTTTATTTATAAATTTAAGCTTCATTTTATTCATAAATCATAGCATCACTTTATATCCCATAAACTGATACAATTATAAATGATCAATTTATAATTAAAAATCTAAAAATTTAAGCTGTATAGAGCATGATATGAAAAAAATATCTCTTTTCCATGATTTAAATGGGAAGTGTATATAAATAGTCTAGGCTAGTGGTCTGTCTTGACCTTGGCTGCATTTATTCTGTATTTATTCTAATATGCAGCCAAGGTCCAGGCCACTGGCCTAGACTATTTAGAACTTTTTAAAAATGTTATTCTCTTGCTTGAACCCTGGAGGTGGAGGTTGCAGTGAGCCGAAGATTGCACCACTGCACTCCAGCCTGGGCATCAGAGAGAGACTCCGAGTCAAAAAAAAAAAAATGTGATTCTCACGCCTCATTTCATGTCAATTCAATCAGTCTGGGACTGTGCATTGGTTATAGACTGCTACATACCAAATTACCACAAACTTAGAGCACAAAAACAACATAAATACGTAATATCACAGTTTCCATGATTGGGGCATGGGTTAATTGGTTTCTCTGGTCAAGGTCTCAACAGGCTGAAGTCAATGTGCCAACCAGAGAGCTCTGATCTCATCTGAGTTTCAGAGTCCTCTTCCAAGCTCAGTGGTTGTTGGTCAAATTCAGTTCTGGGTGGTTGCTGGACTGAGACCCTCAGGTCTTAGAGGCTAGCCACTTTGTGCCCGGTTCTGGTTCCACAACACAGCAGTCTGTTTCTTCAAGGCCAAAAGGACAACATATATACTACTTTTAACTCTTACTTCTTCTGTATATGATCTACAGAACCTCTTTTAAAAGGCTCACTTCATTAAATCAGATATACTAAGGACAGCTCCTTATTTATTAACACAAGATAAATTAACTAGGGCTTTTATTACATCTACAAAATATCTTTACTCTTGCCATGTAATGTAACTTAATAACAAGAGTCACATTCTACCATATTCATAGGTCTCACCTAAATTCAAGGAGAATAGATGATTACAGTTTGTGTACACAAAGAGGTAAAGAATACAGGAATCAACTTAAAGTTTTGACTACTGCAGGGTGCAACTCTGAGATAAATATTTTTAAACCTGTAATTTCAATGAGAAACCAAGGTTAAGAACTACAGATTTGCTCTAGAACCTACACAGAAGAGAGCTTGCCTCTTTCCACTAAGGCAAGTACAAGGTAGAAAGCCTTATACAATCTTTTTCTAACAGCACTGGGGCAACATTTTGCATCAGCTAAAGCAATTTTTGACTTTCCTAAGATTCTATCTTCATAAATTAAGTTCAATAGTTTTACTTGAAGCATGCCGATAATATAATTTTATTTTTCTTATAATACCAGTGGCAGAAAATTATTTTTTAAATTGTGCATTTATTTGTGTATTCATTCTAAACTGGGGGAAAAGAAATTAAAATACTTTTACATTTTATTTTGCAATTTTGCCTTTTATTTGCTGAATATATACCTAAAGAAAGGAAATCAGTATAACCAGGAGATATCTGCACTCCCATATTTGTTGCAGCACTGTTTACAATAGCTAAGATTTGAAAGCAACCTGTGTCCATCAACAGATGAATGGATTTAAAAAGTGGTGTATACATACACAATGAAGTACTATTAGGCCATGCAAAATGAGATCCTATTTGCATCAAAATGGATCAACCTGAGGTAATTATGTTAAATGAAATAAGCCAGGCACAGAAAGACAAACATTGCATGTTCTCCCTTACTTGTGGGATCTAAAAATTAATACAACTGAACTCATGGACATAGAGAGTAGAAGGATAATTACCAGAGGCTGGGAAGGGTAGTGTGTTGCTGGCAGGGAGGTGGGGATGTTTAATGGTTACATAACAAAATAGTTAGATAAAATGAATAAGATTTAGTATTGGATAGCAAAATAAACTTTAATTTATTTATTAAATTAAGTATTTAATTTCATTATTTAATTAAAAATTAATTATTAAAGTGCAATAATAATTCTGTTGTACATTTAAAAAGAACTAAAAGAGTACTTTAAGCAAGAGTATAACTGGATTTTTGTGATGCAAAGAATAAATACTTGAGGGGATGGATACTTCATTTCTTATGATGTGATTGTGACACATTGCATGCCTGTATCAAAACATTTTGTATGTTCCATAAATTTATATACCTGCTATGTGCCCACAAAAATTAAAAACTAGAAAAGCAAAAATATCAGAAAATAACTTTTATAAAATAAAAAAGCAGAGAGCACTTTCCAACTTATTTCCTGAATCCAGCATTACTCAGATTCCAATACCTGACAAAGATCTTACAAAGAGGACCTGAGATCATTATCTTTCATGAACATAGATGTAAACATCTTTAATAAAATACTAGCAACTTTAATCCAAAATATATGAAAATGATAATACATCATAAGAAAGTAAAAGTTGTCCCCAAATGCATGGCTATGTCAACATTCAAGAATCAATCACTGTAATTCATCATATCAGTATACAAAATGAACAAAATAAGATCATTTTAGTAGATGTTGAAAAAGCATTTGACAAAAATTAACATTTATTTATGATAAACACTTTCAACAAAAACCAAGTATAAGGAAACTTTCTCTATTTGATAAAGAACATTTGCTAACCCATACAACTAACATAATACTTACTGCTGCAATACTATATGCTAAGATAAGAAACAAGGTAAGGTTGTCCATATTCACTACACTTATTCAGAATCATACGGGAATTTCTAGCCCATATAATAAGGGAATAAAAAAACTAAAGGCATATCTACTGAAAAATTGGAAAGAAGAATATCCCTTTTCATAAACAACATGATTGATTTTTTATCTACAACATCTAAAGAAAAATGTTGCTAGAACAACTTAAGTGAATTTAAAAATGTCACAAACCATAAAGTCAATATAAAATATCAATTTAATTTCTATACCCTACCAATGAAAAACTGTAATTAATGTTTTTAAGTACCACTTGCAATGTAACAAAATATATGAACAAGTGAGGTGAAAAGCTTACAAAATATCTGCAAGATCCATGCGCAGAAAACTACAAAAATGTTTCAAGAAATATCCAAGTAGATTAGATAAATATATATGAGATAATAATGATTTTTTTTTTTTTTGAGACCGAGTCTCACTCTATCGCTCAGGCTGGAGTGCGGTGGCACGATCTCGGCTGACTGCAACCTCTGCCTTCCCGGTTCAAGCAATTCTCCTGCCTCAGCCTCCCGAGTAGCTGGGACTACAGGTGCCCGCCATCACGCCTGGCTAATTTTTTGTATTTTAGTAGAGAAGGGGTTTCACCGTGTTGCCCAGGCTGGTCTCGAACTCCTTAGCTCAGGCAATCCACCCGCCTTGGCCTCCCAAAGTCCGCATTTTTTTTTAGATTTAGTATTATTAAAATATTGATTATCCTAAACTTATGATTTCAATGAATTTTAATCAGTGTCCCCACAGGGATTAAGGTTGAAATCAGTAAGCTGATTTAAGAATACACAGAGAAATCCAAAGAAACTAGAAGTGCCAAAACAATTATGTTTTTTTTTTAAAAAAGGAAACAAAGTTGAAGGATGCACACTGCCTGATATCCATTATTACTGTGAAGACAATATGAAGGTACCAGCATATAGATCAATTGAACAGAATTGAAGTGTAAAAATAAACCCCAAAATATATAGTAAACTGATTTTTACCAAGGTACAATGTCATATCAATGGTTAAAGCATAGTCTTTTCAAAAAATTTTGGTAGGACAATTTTATACCCACTATACACTATATGAGGCAACAACAACAACAAAAATAACTTTAATCCAAGCCTTACAGCCTACAAAAATGTAACTCAAAATATTATAAATAAAAATGTAAAACACAATACTATAAAATTTCTAGAAAAAAATATGTAGAACAATCTTTTTGACCTTGAGGTAGGTAACAGAAGTACAGTAGTCAAAGCATAATTCATAAAAGATAAAATTGAGAAATTAGACTCTACAAAAATTAAGAATTTTTACTCTTTGAAAGGCACTGTTAACAGAATTAAAAGAGAAGTGACAGACTGGGAGAAAATATTCACAAATCACATATTTGTTAAAGGACATATAGTCATATAGAAAAATTCATAAAAATCAATAATAAGAATACAAACAAATAGAAAACAGGCAAAATATTTGAAGAGTCAATTTCTGAAAGAAGATATGCAGTTTGGCAAACAAACACATAAAAATGTAACATTGATCATTAGTAAATACGATTTAAGGCTATAATCAGATACTATTACACATATATTAGAATGGTTAAAAAAAGGCAACTCTGTTTGCAACTGGAAGGTCATAAATTGGCAATAGAAATGCAACATAGTAAAACCACTTTGAAAAACTATGCTTCGGTTTCTTAAAAATTTAAACATATATTTACTAAATAAGCCAGCAATCTTACTCCTATTTATTGAAGTGAGTAAAACCTATGTTCACACACACACAGACAACTGTATGAGAATCTTTATATGAGTTTTTTTCACAACTACTAAAAACTGAAAAAATAAAATAAAATGTTCCTTTACTCGGGAATGGTTAAACGGATTGTGATTCAGCCATAAAATGAATAACTACTCAGCAAAGAAAAGAAACAAATTACTCATAATATGCAGCAACATGGATGAATTTCAAATACATTACAAAAAGTGAAGGAAGCTAGTCTCAAAAAGCTAATATTGTGTGTTTCCATTTATATGACATTTTTAAAGGGTATAACTAAGGATCAAAAAAGGGATCAGCAATTGCCAGGAGTAGGTGGGTTTAGAGAGAGAGGAACTCAGGAGAAATGAGGGGTTGGTGCGATTGCTCTGTACCTTACTCTGGTTTTGGTTACACAACTGTGTATGTGTCAAAACTTAGAGAACTATATACAAAAAAGGGTGAATTTGATTATGTGTCAATTATATCTTAGTAAAATTTGTAAAAATAGTGAAAAACTTGTTTTGGCACTAATCGATTGCAAGAATCTTTCACTCAGATGAAGAAAATGTGAGTTCCAATCACTAGGAACTAATGTGCGTTTACTTAATAAATTGTGAAAAGTCAAATTCATTTGGTTTTTAAGAATCACTAATTAAATACAAAATACATAATATATCTGGATTTCCAGAAACTAGTAGAAAGCAATATTATGTTCCTATGAAAAAAACTAGGAAAACAATTGGCTATTTTTAAGTGATTTTGTAGCACGTTGATTTATCCTGACTAAACTGATACTAAAAATTCAGTTGGCATTTGCTGCAGTAGAAATCCACCACGGGAGCATTACTCCAGGCCCTTGTCCTCAACACTGTCCTCTTCATGTGTATAGGTGCTTTGAATGACGTCTTAAAGAATTATTCTATGTGTAGATAACGATAATCAGTTTGATATAGTCTATGTTCAATATGTGAATAGAAATACAAAAAGACATTGGGATTGGAAAGTTGAAATAGACCTACAGGTAGTTACTTTTTTTAGTGCTACAGAGAGACAGGTTACACTCATGATAAGAACTGTTTAAGGATAGAATTTTATTTCCCTGAAAACCAGTGAATTTTTCTATGGTTACAAAGAAAAATCAAGTAGTAACCATGTGACTTAACTTAGGGGATATTAAGGAATATTCCATCTCAGAATACTGAATATCTCAGAACTGCCTACCACGAATGGGTCATTACTTCTGGCCCTGTACTGAATTCAAACAAGCACAGAGCCTTTGCTCTTAAATATCTCCCAATTAAGCTGTTTTATAACATATCCTGTCAGCTCTACCTTCAGAAGATATCGAAAATTGAACCACATCTCCACGTTTCCAGCTTCATCACCCTGGTCCAAGTTTGTTTCTGGTCTCAATTCCTGAATTCTTGTCTCTAAACTGAGCTCCCTATTTCTCCCCTACCCACTTTAGTCAAATTCAACAAGGCAGCTTCCTTTTTATCCATAGAACATGCTAGAGCAAGTTCCCAACTCAGGACCTCTGCTTCTGCTGTTTACCTGAAATGATCTTCTCCCAGATACCTGCATAACCCCTTATCTCTATCTTACTGCCTTTACTCAAAAGTCTTCTTTCAGTGATTCAAAAGTCCCTGGCCACCCAAACTAAAAACTTAAGTCTCCATACTGACACTTCATACTGCCCTTCCTCATTTTTATTTCTATTTAGCAACTGACAACCACCCAACATATTACCCACATAGTATTATTTTAAATATTAATTATGTGCATCCTCCACCAACATATAAGCACTGTAATTTTTATCTGTTTTATTCTTTGTTGTATTCCCAGTATCTAGACTCATTCTGAGCATAAAGTTGACAACCAATCAATGTTTGTCAAAGGAGTGGAAGAAATGATGAAAGTCCATAATGGGACCAGCCACATTTATAAAGCACTTTCTCAGGGCCTGGCACAGTGCTAAACACTATGTATGCTAATGTGTCCTTGAGTCCTTAAGACAACAGCAACTTTGTCACAGGAACCTTCCCCATGCAGCAGGTGAGGAAACTGAGGTTCCAACAGGTTAGAAAAGTTGTCTAAGGTCCCAAAGCTGGTCAGTGCTAGGCCAAGACAATGCCCCCAAATCCAGAGTTTCATTATTGCCCAGCTCAAGTAAATCAAAAGTAGGTCTTACTTTTCTCTTCTCGGCATCCTCAGCTTAATCAAGAGTGAGGCAAGTGCCTCCCAGGGAGAACTGGCCTGTTGACTGTGAGACTGTTACAGGGGGAGGAATTAAACACATTTTTTTTCCAGTATAGATTTGGTAGATTTTACTTAGCACTGCATCTCAGGGAGGTCAAAAATCTCCAAATTGCCATGGCGACAGTAAGCAGGTGCTCACAAACTCATTTCCTGTGGAGTGATAATCTCTTCTTTCCAGTTATAGCTGGAAACGAATTTGGTAACTTGTTAAGATGTGGCTGTTGCCAATGCTGCTCGTTCTATTTAGACCTACATCTAATATTTGCTTTTCTCTTTTTCACTGTAAATGTTAGTTAACCACAGTATTAAAAATTTAGAAAAGGGAAATAATAAAATCCATAATCACTCATATCAATACAATCTTACTGTCATTTATTTTGATTATTATTTCTCAAAAGGTAATTCTGGCTTTGCCACGTACAAGCTTTGGGAAACTTTCTCAACCTTTATAAGTTAAAATAAATCTCAAATCTGAATTATGCTAATAATAATTATTTCATAAGTGTTTTTTTCTTTAGCTTTAGTGTTTATCTTTGAGCATTAAATGAAATAAAAGGTGCAAACAGTATGGTACTTAGAGGCTTTTTAGGAATATTTTTGTCTCTGTGTCTCCGTTTTCTTCATGTTGTTCCCTATCCTGACACATCAGATGTGCCACTACCCACAGTGAGCACTAGAGGTACATTTTAATGTTTTAATTATCAGATAATAATATGTAACCAGTAGGAAGATAGTAATGATATATGAAATTTAAAACGCTCCCTGTGACTTTGACTTGCCCAAATGCCAATGTGTTAAAAGCCCTCTGCTTCTCTGTATTGTTAGTGCTGAGGACATAGGGCTTCTCTTTGTCTCAGCTCCAGCACATCATCTGAAGCTCATGGGGCAGTCTCGCTTGCTTACGCTGGACTCAGAATCACCATTCCCAGAACTTACCTAGAAACACAAGTATCTCATATCCTCTGATCTGTGTTCAACCTCCGCAAAGCTTCTGAAAGCTGGCATCCCAGCGCTGTCCTTTATTAGCTGTATGGGCTTCAATGCCTTAGCTTTCTCATCTATAAAATTCAAATGATAATAGACATAAGTTCATAATTGTTGTTAGAATTAATTGAAATTACATGTGAAATCTCTTCACATTATAGTTGGCAAATACGGCCCCCACACATGATGAACACTTGAGCCCTCAGGAAAGAGTAAGAGGAAAATATTAGTTGCCTTCTCTCACTACTCACATGTTTTTTTTCTTTTCTTTTTCACGTAAGGACTAATTGGTTCATCTCTTTCATTATTTTTTCTTTATGGAAAAACTCTTATTCCCTTCTGAGCCTTGGGACTGTTTTCCAATTCTCAGTCTCAGAAGTCATTACCTGTATTACACATATTGTTAATACTACCACACATATGTAGCTAAATCAGGCGAGTAAGTGAAGTCCACGGCTTGACAGAGGTGGCTGGAGGAGCTCTCAGTGAGTCACACTGAGAACTTATCAGGGGTAAGGATTGGAGCCACCTCAACTCCCCTGTGAGGTCAACAGGGAAGTTATCCACCTTTCAGACATGACCCTTGTCCCATGCTCCAGCTTTTCAGATTGGACAGGCACCTGTTCATCTGTACAAATGTTTATGTTCCAAATAGAGAGGAATTTGGAATGTTTATGTTCCCAATAGACAAGGACTCTGTCTCTTGTGGAAGCCTGAACCTGGAGGGTGCTCTTCCTGAGAAGATGCAGTCACCCTTATGTGTTCCAGAAAGACTCTCTATAGTTGCACCCACACTGAGCTCCCATGGGAGAAGCTCCAACTGTGCCTATGGTGGTGGAAAAAGAAGGATACACTTCCTTTTCTCCAAGACCCTTCATGCACACAAACACTGTTTGACTCTTGGGATAGAGCTCAAGACTTTCCCTGCAGAGTCCAGCACTTCAACTGTGTCTCTGCTGAAGAAAGCTTTCCACCAGTAGAAGGATCTGGTACTCGAGGCCTGCTGTCCATATTCTTTCATCCCGTGGAGTATTCCCTTGCTGTGGTGCCCTCCCACTTCCCTTAGGAGTGGGAGTCCCTTGGAGCCAGACTACTGTGAATGTTGTTCCTCTGGGTCTAGCTGCCCAGTGACGTTGCCACACTTCGGGCTGGTGTTGAGGAATGTCTGCAAGGGATCTGGTGATGTGACCTGTCCTCATGTTTCCCAACAGTGGGTAGCAGCCTCACCTCTAACTGGGGATGGCAGGGGAGTGATGTTGATTCTGTGAAATTCCTTGGTTATTGTTGTCCTTAGTGTTTTGGCGTTGTTGAACACTGGTTATGGTAGTAATGAACTGGTCATGTGGACAGACTCAGAACCTCCAGGTTAGCCATAGTGGTGCAGGCAGTGGTAATAACTGAGATTTTTGCAAATGTTTTGCCCTTCCCTGGCACAGTGTTGTTCTACCAGGAGATACTGTAATGGACTGTGTTGGTTGGCCTCAAGTCAGGAGGTGTCACTTGCAAAAGAGCACCAGCTGCAGTAGTAGCAGTGGGATTTTTTCCTGCCTTATGTTGCCCCTGGGGGATACACTGGTTTCTCAGGTAATGGGTGGGGCCATTTAGTTCCCAAGAGATTATCTCCTATATGATGAGCTATCAGGCAGGTGGTGGGGCAAAGCCAGGTGGGGGCTGGGTCGGGTGGGTTTGCACTCTGTGCAAGGCAAGCAGCAGCCTCTGTTGGTGTTGGGGGATGGGAGCAGGCCTCAGGCCACTGGATTAATGTTTCAGGGGGCATCATTGCTGCCTCTGGTGTACAGAAGAGTTTGTGCAGGGAGTGGGCAATAGCAGACGGTGGTAAAACTCACAGTTTCTATACACTGGGGAAAGTAAATCCATTCCCACAGTGTTCCACTGGCAGCAGCAAGCTGAGTTCCAGTCAGCCTGTATCAGAACTTACCACTGCCTGGAGTCATAAGCTTTGCCCATGAAAATTGTAATCGTGTCTTTCAGGACACACCTCTCCCTGCTGCTGTAAAGCCAGGTACCAGGATCTTTCACCTGCAGATCCTGTACCTGTGGATCTTTCTCCCACGGCTCCTGCGCTTGCAACTCCTGCACTCATGGCCCTCTTTTCACTCTCCCCTGCCCTAGCTCTGAAAAAGGGAATTTGTCCCCACCTGAGGTTATAATGTGAAACCTCACTGAGAGCTTCTTTCAACTTCCAAATGCTGCCTGAACTTTTTGGCTGTCCTCTGCTGGATCCTCTGTGAGGAGCAGTAAGAAATGACTGCCCTTGTTCTGCACTGTGATCTGGGAGTGATTGCAAGGGTCTTCCCACTGCTATTCCTACTTTTATATTCCACAGCACTCCTAAAGTTGATTCCTGCACTGGGTGGGGTAAGGGCCGGCCTGAACTTTCAGAGTCCCTAGTGGGGATGTGTATCCCAGAGGCAAACTCTCTCCGTCTCACACTCTATGGACTTGAAGCCCTTCACCTGACTCACAGTGTAGGCTGCAGCCTCCTGCTTCCTTCAAAGGATCCCTAGATTCCTTTGCTTTTCCTGTTCAGTTACTGTCTCTCTTCTTGAAAAAAAGTTTACAATGTAAACTTCTGTATTGTACTAATAACAATAGTTATTGTAGTGATAATTAATAGTTTGATCTTGCAAGTGTGAGAGGTATGCTAGCAATGCCTCTAATCTGCCATCTTGGAAAAAAATCTACAATAATTACAATAATTTTTTTTTTTTTTTTTTTTTTTGAGACAGAGTCTCACTCTGTAGCCCAGGCTGGAGTGCAGTGGCGTGATCTCGGCTCACTGCAAGCTCTGCCTCCTGGGTTCATGCCATTCTCCTGCCTCAGCCTTCCAAGTAGCTGGAACTACAGGTGCCTGCCACCATGCCCAGCTAATTTTTTGTATTTTTAGTAGAGATGGGGTTTTACTGTGTTAGCCAGGATGGGTCTCAATCTCCTGACCTCATGATGTGCCTGCCTTGGCCTCCCAAAGTCCTGGGATTACAGGCGTGAGCCACCATGCCCGGCCACCTACAATAATTTTTAAGCTTCATTAATAGACATTACTCTATTTCACTGGATTTGACAGCCCCTGATATCATGTTTTGAGCTGACATACATGATGACTATGATCAACAACATTCAGAGGAAGAAAACGAAAGGACCATTTCTAAAGTCAAAGGGAGCCATACCATTCTAAAGCAAACAGAAGATCCAAAGCATTCAAATGGCGTTTGCTTAAACTGTAATGCACGGCAAAGTGTACAACAAAGGGGAGATGTTGCCAGTGGGGTTATTAATCCTGTTCCAGGAATTAACTTGACATATTCACTTGTTGCCAGTCAAGTATCCACCATAGGAATGTCTCCTCTGAATAGTAATGGTGACGTATAACACTGCAGGGTAAACTAATCCTATTGCCATTTGGGGATCTAAAAGCCACCATACATTACAAATTCTATCCAAGCTTTCATCCTCTTAGAAGAGCTAATGAACCAATAGTTTTTCTAATAATAGTATACATTACATAAATAAAGTGTTTATTCCATAAGCTTCATTGTTGATAGGATAAAATCACTCTGAGTAAATAAAACTAATAGCACTTTCTTCTAATTGATACTCAAGAGCCCCCTGCTTCCATGCAACAGACTACAATAAATTAGTGTTGTTTTCAACTCATGTGGCATGCTCTCCTGAAACCCAGAGATTATTTCAGACTTTCAGAGTTTTTCCTTGCCAGTTAACCTCTATTAGCTTTCTGTCTATCTGGTTCCACAGGAGCTTTAAGCCAGGAATATACATGGATTTGTGTGAATGCAAATGTCAGACCTGATTTCCTGAAAAGCTAAAGAAGTATCCCCGGTTTCCTGACTGGCCTTACATAGGTACCCACCATAGGTACTATAGTGAACTGAAATGCAGACATTTTAAAATAATGCCTTGCACCTCCTTCCCGAGGTAAAAGACAACAGCGTATTTAGTTCATGTACCTCAAACAAGAATCTCCAAGACTCGCCTGTGGATAAACAAGCTTATACAATTATAAATCGATTTAACATGTGATCAGTATTTCATACTCACAGTTTCCTCAGAGATAACTGAATGCAGAATCATTCTTGTTAGAGTTGATCCATTAATCAATTGCCTAAAATATTCCACTCATCTTCTTTGCCAGTGCCCAGTGGGAAGGCAGGGATATGAGAGGCCCACCTTTTTGAACTAGTTGCACCTTCTTGTGCAGTAAGTTCTCATTAAGCCTATTTTGTGCCTAAGGCCAAGCGCCACAGGACTTTGGAGATAAAGTATGTA
This sequence comes from Homo sapiens, assembly GCF_000001405.40. Lineage (NCBI taxonomy): Eukaryota > Metazoa > Chordata > Mammalia > Primates > Hominidae > Homo > Homo sapiens. The sequence goes on along the minus strand of NC_000023.11, from coordinate 35,362,106 downwards.
AATTTCTGCCCTTAAGGGGAAAACAATATGATATAATACCCAAAGGTGGGGTCTATTTTTTAGTTGTGAATTTAATACCGCATATCTTGGCCTCTCAAGACAGACAATGGGTTTACTTCTTTGGTCTTCAGTTTATTTGCTACAAGACACTGGACAAATAAGTTTAACTTCTTTAAACCTCAATTTCCTTATATGTAAATTAAAGATGATAATCAAAGTCTTTCTTGGAGCTACAATAAAGAGTGTAGCAAACAACACATGCAGAGCACTCAGTGAGAGGCTGGTCCATGATAAGCTCTCACAAATCATGACCGTTTACATGATAGTAATTCTAGATTTTAAGTGATTAACAAAATCTTCTTGATTCAGATTGTTTTGCTGTCTCTGAACTTGTTTCAAGGGAGGCAAAGGGGTAGGGAAAACAGTACAGAATTCTGCAGGATGCAGCCCAGGGTTCTAGATTTGGTTAGTTTTTTTTGGTAATTAACTATTAGGACAGTGATTATTCACAATATATTTTAGAACTTTAATTCTTTCTTGTATAAAACCAAGCTGGCCAATACCTATATTACAAGGAAGCTGTCAAAATCAACCAGAATAATTTATGTAGAGCTATTTTGAAAACTACATAGAGCCATGTGTAAAGCATTATTAGGATTTTAGGATTTCACTCTTGTTAAATAAATAATCAATTACCTCTTCAAAATATTTCTCAGAGGTTAGAAAACCCATCACGCATTATTTTTATCTACAACATTTTCAAAGCCTCAGTTAGATAGAAGGGATAAGTTCATTTTTTTGAGATACATAGTACAGCATCCTGGATATAGCTAATAATTGAGTACTATACATTTCAATAATGCTTAAAAAATTCCTAATTTTCTTATCAAAAAAATGTGAAATATTTGAGATGATATATTAATTAATTTAAATTATTCTGTATGATATTCAAAAATCATAAAACCACTTTGTACCTCATAAATATATACAACTATAATTTGTCAACAACAGAGAAATTGGCAGAAAGTGGCCAAGATAGCCAACTAGAAGCAACTAGTGTATGCAGCTCTCCTGGAGAGGAACAGAAGGGGAAAGTAAATATAGCACCTTCAACTGAAACATACAGGTACATGCAATGGGACTAATCAAACAAACAACTCAACCCACGGAGAATGGAGGAAAGCAAGGCAGGATGACAGCCCACCTGGGAGTGACATGGAACCGTGGGAACCTCCCCCGCCCAGAGAAATGGTGAGTGAATGTGCAACCCCAGGACCCCACACTTTCCCACAGATCATTGCAACCCTCAGGTCAGGAGATCGCCTTGTGAACTCACTCCACCACAGCCTTCAGTCTGACACACAGAACGACATAGAGTCTTGGAGGAGAACCTTCTCAGGCACACCCAGAGACCCAGGAGCCTTAGATACCCGGGCTTTCTGGGCTTCCCGGCAAAAGTAGATGCAACTTTGGCAAAATGGGAGGTTAGTCCCCATACATACCCCTAGGAAAGAGGCTGAATCCACAGGGCTGAGCAGCAACAGTCTGGAGGCCCCACTTCTGTTGCAGGAATTTTCCTTAGTCCAGCTAAAGATGGGGGTTCTTATCACACAGCCATGAAAATTTAGGCTTGCAGACAATTTGAAGGATGAGCAGGGCAGGATTTTATTGGATGAAAAGGAAGAAAAGGGGAAACAGGGGCCCCCTGCAAAGCCAGAGCCCCTGCTGGTGCAATTCCCCCCTTGCAGTTTGAATCCCAGGTTCTACACAAGAAGAGGAGGGACCGGGCTCTTCCCTCCTGCAAAAAGCACAAACTTCTGTGGCTCCATCCCAGTGCAGAATGGAGTTTTGCTAGGGAACACGTCCCAACTGGCTGTCTCATTTCCATGGCACCTCACAGGATAAGACCCACTGACTTGGAATTGCAGCCAACTACTGGTAGCAGCATTGCACCTCCCTGAGATGGAGCTTCCAAGGGAAGGGGCAGGCTGCCATCTTTGCTTATTAGACAACTTAGCTGTTCCAGACTTTGAGCTTTGGAGAGTCCAAGCTGACCAGGGACAGAAACCATCCCCCAGCACAGCACAGCTGCTCTATGGAAACATGACCAGACTGCTTTTTTAAGCAGTTCCCTAATCCCATTCTTCCTCACTGGGTGGGACCTCCTAACTGAGGTCTCTAGCCACCTCTGCTAGTGTTCTCCAGCCAGAGATTTAAAACCTTCCTGGGGCAAAACACCTAGAGGAAGGGGTGGGCCACCATCTTTGCTGATTGAGTGACTTAGCCATTTCAGCCTCTGGGCCTTGGAGAGCCCAAACTGAACAGGGGCAGAAGTGGTCCCCTTCACAGCAGAGCTGCTCTTTGAAAACATGCCCAGACTTCATTTTAAAGTAGGTCCCCAATCCTATTTCACCTCACTGGGAAGGATGTCCCAACCGGGGTCTCCAGCCACCCCCACCAGTGTTCTCCAGCTGACGGAGCTCCCAGAGGGAGAGTTGGGCAGCCCTCTTTGCTCTTTGGGCAAATTAGCCATTCTAGTCTTTGGGCTTTGGAGAGGCCAAGCTGACCAGGGGTGAGAGCAGTCTCCCAGCACAGCACAGCTGCCCTACAAAAATGTGGCCAGACTGCTTTTGTAAACAGGTCCCTGATCTTTTTCCTCCTTACTGCTGGGGGGAACCTCTTAACCAAGGTCTCCAGCCACCTCCTATAGGTGTGTTCAAGCTGGCAACAGGAATGTACCTCCCTCAGATGGAGTTCCCAGAGGGAGGGGCAAGCCACCATCTTTGCTGTTTTGCAGGCTTCAATGCTGATACCTCCAGGCACTGGAAAATCTGAGGTGACTAGGGACTAGAGTGGTTCCCAGCATACCACAGGAGTCCTACAGAAAAGTGGTGAGATGGTTATGTGGGTGCTTGTTCTCACATCTCCTCACTGAGCAGGTCCTCCAGGCCTGGGCCTCCAGCCACTCTCCTGCCAGAGTTGTCAAGCCAGTAGCTGTTCAGCAGCCCACTGGACAGAGACCCCAGGGGCAAGTAAAAGCCTCTCTACCACTGCCTCTGCAGTGGAACTGCCCTTGCTACCCATGGACTAACGAAGGAGCAAAGACACTAAGTGCTTCATCCACACCTGTAACAAGCTACAGTTCACCAAAGGAGGGGAGGCCAGTCTGTCTCCCACAGGTCCCACCCATCCCCCACTGCTCATCACCAGACAGGGAACCCCCAGCTTGCACTCACAGCACAGACCTTCCATCCTGGGTTGACTGCACTGAGCAATTGCTGACCTGCAACTCTCTGTGGTGGAGCCTCCAGCAGACAAGCAAAAGATCCTTGGCCATACCCACTACTAAGGTCCCTTCTGCTACCTTCAAGTTGGGGAATGAACATAAACACTGGATTGTCCCAGAGCTGCAGTGGGCAGCCCAGGAATGGCAAGTCACAACCTACAGCCAGCATTAAGGGGAAGAGGAACCCACATTTTAGAGTATTGAAAGTTAACACAGTTGAAACTATGAGGAAACATAGGGGAGCCACACAACTGGGCAAGAGTCTACCAACTGACCAGTAAATCTAAGTGCCACCTCCTGCATCACATTCCAAAGCTTCAACACCAAAAACACCTTGCTAACATACCCCCTTCTGAAACGAGAGACAAGAAGTCAGCTGCAAATAAAGACTCTGCGCAAAGCTTCAGCCCTGTGAAAAAAATCCATAAAAGATGTCTATTAACTGTACTCATTCTACATTGCAGTTAAAAGAATACCCACATAGAGAGATAGAACCAATGCAAGAAGTCCAGTAACTCAAATGGCCAGAGTGTTGTATGTCCTCCAAACAACCACTCCTGTTCTCAAAGAAGAGTTCTTAACCAGCTGAACTGGCTGGAATGACAGAAATAGAATTCAGCATATAAATAGGAAAAAAGATCATTGAGATTCAGGAGGATAGGAAAACCCAATTTAAGGAAACTAAGAATCAAAATAAAGCAATAAAGGAGCTGAAAGATGAAACAGTCTGTATGGGAAAGAAGCTAATGAGTCTGACAGAGCTGAATAACACAATACAAAAATTTCACGATGCAATCACAAGTATTAACAGTTGAGTAAACTAAGCTGAAGAAAAAAATCTCAGAACTTGAAGACTGGTTCTCTGAAATAGGGCAGTCAGACAAAAATAAATAAAAAAGAATAAAATGGAATGAACAAAACGTCTGAGAGTATGGGATTATGTAAAGAGGCCAAATCTATGAATCATTGGCATCCCCAAAAGGGAGGGGGACAAAGCAAACAACTTGGTGAACATATTTCAGCATATCATCCATGAAAACTTTCCCAACCATGCTAGAGAGGCAAACAGTCAAATTCAGGAAATACTGAACGCTCTTGCAAGATTCTAACAAGAATATCATCCCCAGGACACATAATCATCAGATTTTTTTTAAGGTTGAAAATAAAGAATGTTAAAGGCAGCTACAGAGAATGGGTAGGTCACCTGTAAAAGGAACACTATCAAGCTAACAGAAAACTGCTCAGCTGAAACCCTACAAGCCAGAAAAGATTGGGAGCCTATATTCAACATTTGTAAAGAGAAAAACCTTCAACCAATAATTTCATATCCAACCAACTAATCTTCTCAAGTTAAAGAGAAATAATATCCTTTTCAGATAAGCAAATGTTGAGAGAGCTTATTGCCACCAGACCTGCCTTACATGAGATCTTGAAAGAGGCACTAAATATGGAAAGGAAAGACTGCTGCCAGCTAACATAAAACATGTTTAAACATACAGACCAGTGACACTCTAAAGCAACCACACAAACAAGCCAACATAGTAACCAACTAACAGCACAATAGTAGGATCAAATCCACACATGTTAATAATAACCTTGAATATAAATAGGCTAAATGCCCCACGTAAAAAGTACAGAGTGGCAGACTGAAGAAAAAAATAAGACCTAATGGTATGCTGTCTTCAAGAGACCCATCTTACACATCATGATACCCACAGGCTTAAAATAAAGGGATGGAGGAAAATCTACCAAGCAAATGGAAAACAGAAAAAAGCAGGGGTTGCAATTCTAATTTCAGACAAAGCAGAATTTTAACCAGAAAGGTAAAAAAGACAAAGAATGATATTATATAATGGTAAAGGAGGGTTCAATTCAACAGGAAGACCTAACTATCCCAAATATATATGCACCCAACACAGGAGCACCCAGATTCATAAGGGAAGTCCTTAGAGACCTACAAAGAGACACAGACTTCTACAAAATAATAATGGAAAACTTCATCACTCCACTAACAATATTAAACAGGTCATCGAAGCAGAAAATTAACAAAGATCTTCAGGACATAAACTCAACATTGGACCAAATGGATCTGATAGATTTCAATAGAACTCTCCACCAAAAATCAACATAATATACATTCTTCTCATTCCCACGTGGCACATACTCTAAAATTGACCACATAATTGGACATAAAACAATCCTCAGCAAATTCAAAGAAATAAAATCATACCAAACATACTCTTGAACCATAGCACAATAAAAATAGAAGTCAAGACTATGGAAATCACTCAAAACCATGCAATTACATAGAAATAAAACAGCATGCTTCTGAATGATTTTGGGTTAAATAATGAAATTAAGGCAGAAATCAAGAAGATTTTTGAAACGAATGAGAAAAAAGATACAACATACCAGAATCTCTGGGACACAACTAAGACAGTGTTAAGAGGAAAATTCATAGCACTAAATATCCACATCAAAAATAAAGATCTCAACTTAACAACTTATTGCAATGGAAAGAAGTAGAGAAGCAAGAATAAATCAACCCACAAGCTAGCAGAAGACAAGAAATAACACAATCAGAGCCAAAATGAAGGAAAATGACACATGAAAATCTATTAAAAAATAAACAAATACAGGAGTTGGTCTTTTGAAAAACAATTAAGATAGGCTGCTAGCTAGAATAATAAAAAAGAAAAGAGAGAAGATTCAAATAAACACAATTAGAAATAATAAAGGGAATGTTACCACTGACCCTACAGAAATAAAAATAACCATCAGAAACTACTGTGAACACCTCTATGCACACAAACTAAAAAACCTAGAAGAGATAGATAAATTCCTAGCCACTTATTCCAGCAGCATTTATTGAATAGAGAGTCCTTTCCCCATTGCTTGTTATTGTCACCTTTTTCAAAGATCAAATAGTTGTAGGTGTGTGCCTTTATTTCTGTGTTCACTAACCAGGTCCAATGGCCTAGGTGTCTGTTTGCATGCCAGTACCATGTTGTTTTGGTTACTGTAACCTTGCAGTACAGTTTCAAGTCAAGTAGTGTGATGCCTCCAGCTTTGTTCTTTTTGCTTAGGACTACTTTGGCTATTCAGCCTCGTTTGGTTCCATATGGTTTTAGAATAAATTTGTTCTAATTCTCTGAAAAATGTCCTTTATAGTTTGATAGAAATAGCATTGAATCTGTAAATTGCTTTGGAGAGAATGGCCATTATAACAATATTGATTTTTCCTGTCCATGAGCATGGAATGGTTTTCCATTTATTTGTGCCATCTCTGCATTATTTCAGTATTGTTTTGTAATGCTTATTGTAGAGATATTTCACCTCTCTGGTTAGCTGTACTCCTAGATACTTTATTCTTTTGTGTTTATTGTGAATGGGATTGCCTTCTTAATTTGGTTCTCAACTTGTATGTTATTGCTGTATAGAAGTGCTACTAATTTTTGTACATTGATTTTCATGCTGAAACTTTGCTGAAGTTGTTTATCACTTCCAGGAGCCTTTGGGCAGAAAGAAGTGTAGAATCATATTTCAAACAGTGATAGTTTGACTTCCTCTCTCCCTATTTGGATGTGTTTTATTTCTTTCTCTTGCCTAATTGCTCTAACAAGGACTTCCAACACTATGTTGAACAGAAGTGGTGAGAGCGGGCATTCTTGTCTTGCTCCAGTTCTCAGGTGGAATGCTTCCAGCTTTTGCCCATTCAGTATAATGTTGGCTGTGGGTTTTTCATAGATGGGTCTTATTACTTTGAAGCATATTCCTTCAGTGCCTAGATTGTTAATGATTTTTAACACTAAGGGATGCTGAATTTTATTTTAAGCCCTTTCTTCATCTATTGAGATGATCATGTGGTTTTTAGTTCTGCTCATGTGATGTTTTAGTTCTGTTTAGTACTGTTCAGCATAAACCACAATTACTTTATGTGGTTGATCTTAGAATATGTGCTATGTATAGATGAGAAAAATGTGTATTCTGTTGTTGTTGGGTGGAGTATTCTGTAAATGTCTGTTAGGTTCATTTGGTCAAGTGTTGAATATAGGTCCCAAATATCTTTGCTGGTTTTCTGCCTCGATGATTTGTCTAACACTGTCAGTGGTGTGTTGAAGTCTTCCACTATTATTATGTGGTTATCTAACCCTCTTCAAAGGTCTCTAAGAACTTGTTTTGTGAATCTGGATGCTCTAGTGTTGGATGCATACATATTTTGGATACTAAGTCATCTTGTTCCATAGAATCATTTTATCACTGTGTAATGCCCTTCTTCGTCCTTTTTGATCATTATTGGTTTAAAGTCTGTTTTGTCTAAAATAAGAACAACCACCCTGCTTTTTTTGTTTTCCATTTGCTTAATAGATCTTTCTCAGTCCCTTTACTTTGAGTCTATAGGTGTTAGTGCATGTGAGATTGGTCTGTTGAAGACAGCATAGAGTTGAGTCTTACTTGTTTATCCAACTTGCCACTCCGTGTCTTTTAAGTGAGGCATTTAGTTTCTTTACATTCAAGGTTAATATTGATATGTGAGGATTTGATCCTGTCATCATGTTTTTAGCTGGTTGTTATGTATATTTGATTGTAGAGTTGTTTTATAGTGTCAGAGGGCTATTTACTTAAGTGTGTTATTGTTGGCAGGCACTGTTCTTTTGTTTTCATGTTTAGCCTTCCCTTAAGGACCTCTTGTAGTGTAGGTCTGGTGGTAACAAATTCACTTAGGATTTGCTTGTCTGTAAAGGATTTTCTGTCTTCTTTGCTTATGAAGCTTAGTTTGAGTGGATATCTAATTCTTGGTTGAAAATTGTTTTCTTTTAGAGGGTTGAATATAGACCTCCAATCCCTTCTGGCTTGTAAGGTTTCTTCTGAAAGATCTACTGTTAGCCTGAAGGAGTTCCCTTTGTATGTTATATGCCCTTTCTCTCTAGCTGCCTTTATGATATTTCTTTTGCATTAACTTTGAATAATCTCATGTCTATGTGTTTTGGGGATGGCTGTCTTGTAGAGTATCTTATAGGGGTTTTCTGAATTTTCTGAATTTATATATCATTCTCTTTGGCAAGGTTGCAGAAATTTTTGTGGACAATATTTTCAAATATATTTTCAATGTTTCTTGCTCTCTCCATCTCTTTCAGGAATGCTAATGAATTGTAGATTGAGTCTTTTTAAATAATCTCGTATTTCTCAGAGGTTTTGTTCATTTTTTAAAACTATTTTTTCCTTATTTTTGTCTGTCTGCATTGATTCAAAGGAGCCATATTTGAGCTCTGAAATTCTTCCTCAGCTTGGTGTATTGTTATTATTTCTTCCAATTGCATTTTTTATTAACTGTAGTGGATTTTTTTTTGAGAAGTTCAGTTTGGTTCTTTCTTATAATGGCTATGTCGTCTTTCATTTCATGGACTGTTTTATTGTGTTCCTTTGATAGGGTTTCCATTTTTTCCTGTATTTTGATGAGCCTTCTTACTATCCAGATTCTGAGTTCTATGTCTCTGATTTCAGGATTTCAGTCTGGTTAGAAAGCACTGATAGGGAGCTACTGTAGTCATTTGGAGTTAAGAAGACACTCTAGCTTTTACTGTTGCCAGAGTTCTTTTTCTGTTATTATTATTTTTTTTTTCTCTTCTGTGTGGTCAGATGTTACTTTAGTTTTGGGAATTGCTATTTTTCTGGATAGGGTTTTTTGCTTTTATATTCTTTAATGCCCTTGAAGGTTTGACTGTGCTATAGATTGGGTTCAGCTGATTGGCTTTATTCTGCATGCTTTCAGTGGGGCAAGCTTCAGCTCAGCACTCCTGGGCTATGTGTTATAATCCTGGGGGCCTAGGATCAGGCCCTTAGCTTTGTTCTCTGGCCCCTTGAAATTAAGCACCTGCTCCACTGAGGGGCCAAGGTATTTCCAGTCCACTGGCACCAATTCTCCAATGGGGGCTGTAGGCAAAAATGAGCCAGTGAGGTAGTGGGGTTTCTTGCATGTATGTGCACCAGCAGAGCAGTTGTGGGTTCCTGTGTGCATGTGTGCCAGTGGGGTGTCAGGCATCCCTGTGTGCTCATTCATGCTGGCAGGGCAGTGGGGGTTCTGCATGCACATGCATGCTGGTGAGGCAGGGGGGAAGGCTGGAAGTGAATGCATGCTGGTGGAGGAAGGCTGAAAGCAGGTGCACACCAGCAGTGGTCCATTTGCAACAGTACTCTGACAGGTATGCAGTGTCTTCTAGAGAAAGAAGTATGGCACTGGCTGCTAGCAAGCATTTAGGCTGGGCAGCTGAGGCTGTGTTCTACGCAGGTACAGCCAGGCAGGGACCCTGGGAGAGACTGGTAGACAGGGGGACTCTCAGATTGACCCAGTTTTATAGGCAGGACAGCTCTGTTCTGTGCAGATTCAGCAACTAACAAAGTCTAAAGTTGCCTAGAAAAATATGGTCAGCCTTGTGGGATGGGTGCCCATGTCCATGCTCCACTGCAGCTGTTCCAGTGCCAAACCATCTGCGCTCAGCACAGGTTGGAGTTCTGTCTTTGCCAACTCTCCCTGCCAGCTAAATGTCAGTGGAGTCATGTGGTCTCACACAGCTAGGATTATGGAAATCTGTGGTAGGAGTGGGACGCTCCATGGCTGTTTCACTCACCCATTCCCTAGGAGCCGCCGAGGGCCAGAAATGAGTCCTGCTACTTGGCAACTCCTTGCAGGGTTCTCAGCTTTCTTTTCTTTCAGCCCAGGGCTTGCATCCTCCATTTTTCCACTCTCAATGTTTTCTTTCTCAGTGTTCAGCGTGTGCCAGTCTACTTGATAGTTGTGTCTGTCTTCATGTGTGAAGCTCTTTCTGGCTGCATCTAGTTGACCATCTTGGCTCTTTCCCACTTCCTCTTTTTTTCTTTTTGTTTGAAAACTGAGTTTCCCATTAAATAAATTGGTGAAACAAGGTAATTTACAGATGGTTAAGATAAATCATCATATATTGCTATTACATCTGACACCTCAGTTGGTAAAATAAAATATTTCCTCTCTCTTTTATCTCCTTGAAATTTTTTTCGATATTGCCTTTTACATTTGCATTTTTTATTGAACTATGGAATATATACAGAAAATTTCACCAATTATAAATGCATAGCACAAAGAATTTCATGGACTGAACACATCTGCTGCGGTTTGAATGTGTTCCTCAAAGTTCAGGTATTGGAAAATTAATTTCCAGTGCAACAGTTTTAAGAGGAGGGACCTTTAAGAGTTAATTAGGTCATGAGGGCTCAGTGTTGTTATTGTTGGAGTGAGTTTATTACTGCTAGAGTGGATTTGTTATAAAAGCATGTTTGGTCCTCTCTCTCTTATACATGTTCTGTCTTGCCCTTCCACATTCTGCTGTGGGTTGCTACAACAAAAACATTCTCACCAGATGTGGCCTCTCGATCTTGGACTTTCCAACCTCCAGATCTGTAAGAAATACATGTCTGTTCTTGTAAACTATTCAGTCTCACATATTCAGTTATAGCAGCACCACACAAACTAAGATGATACCTATGCAGCCTTCCTGCCTCTCCAACTCTGGAATGGAAGAACACAATTCCTTAAATCCAGCAGTTCTCATCATTCTCTTTCACTTTTGACTTCTCTTCATCTTTTAAATCTCATTCAGAATATGAGAGCATTTCCTACTAAAACTTGGGACATCCACAGAATGGTGCATTAGTGGGACAAGGTTGAAGTCCTGATTTAAAAGGCTATTTTGTGTTTCTACCATGTTTGGGTACAGAATCTCACTTTCTAAACCATAATAATAATACTATATTGTAGACTTTATAATGTATGTAAGAGTAAAGTGCATACAAACAAGAGCAGAAAGACCAGAAGGGGAGAAATGGAAGTATATTAAGTCCTCATACTATATGTAAAGTGATTGTAATAGATGCAGTAAAATGACCTCAAACAATGAATGAAGAAGTGGGAAAATTCTCCCTTCTGCACGTTGTTTCTCATTTAAATCTTGCAACTGTGTCTAACTAAAATTCTTACTTTGAACAATCATGTGTTTTTGAAAATTTGGATAGCAAGATTCTAAGTAAGAGTATGATAAATATCTACCAAAAGAACTAAATTACCTCTGCCTCCTTTTCCTCTTTTGGACCTTACCACTCACCTTTCCTGAATCTTTTACTAGATAAACCAACCCATTTACCGTCCATTATTAAAAATTTAAATTAATGGCGCCACTGCACTCCAGCCTGGGTGACAGAGTGAGACTCTGTCCCCCCTCAAAAAAATTTTAAATTAAAAATTGTGACAAGTTTTTCTGTTGGCCTAGGAGAGTAACTGTTTATCTACTGTCAGGGCAGACCTGACATAAAAATATCATCAGAACTGCTATACTCTAGCAACTTATGGGGAAAAGGACCTACTTACTAGCTAAGCTGTGTTCAATCTTAATAGGATAAAATCCTATTTAAACACACAGGAGGATCCTGATATGTACATTATTAATGAGAATCAGATTGTAGTAGGTTTTACAGAGAAGGTATGATATCATATAGGTCAGTACTAAGATAGGATGAAGTCAAAACGAACATAAACCAGAGTCTGGTGGCAGAATTGACTGAACTCTATAGTGCAGAAAAATAAATTCGAAGAATAAGGAAAGGCTGTGTCTAATAGAGTATATATAGAGGTTTAGCAATATAATGACAAATGTTATTTTCAAATAATCTCCATGTGATTTCTAAGGTAAATGACATGTCTATATCATTCTGAACCAAATTACTCTAAAATGCAAAGAATGCTATTGACACCTTTAAGAAAATGGTAATTCTACATATGAAAAAATCTATTTTATTTTTTCCTATATTTCAACAATTATTTTCAATTTACTCACACCTTGAACTAAGTTTCAGGCACTTGAAGTGATAGAAAATGACTTCCTGGTTGCTGAAATATTTTGCTAATCAGCTTGATGAATAGTGAGAAAAATACCTCCTTTTGGAATGATTATAATAAGTTCTTTTGGGAATAGTCTTTTTTGTGATTTTTTAAAAACTTTAAGGTTCCTTTTTAAAAAAACACATTTTTAATCTTTTAGATTTTTTCTAATGCTTTTAATTTTATGTGATACCATAAGTAAAAATGCATAAAAATAAGAAAAATATCCTTTTAAAATTAAAGAAGAGGGAAATTTGTAAAATATTTCATTATGGAAAGTATCAAGCCCTGATTTGTATTATTATGACCTATTTCCCCTTTTTCCAAGCCACTTCAATATTGTTTATGTAGGACTCATACTATGTCTGTTCAACCATCCACAGTCATTATGGGTTTCCCAGGATGCTGGGACACCTAGTAACTGACATTTTGTTATACTTCTTAGCTATTACATGTAAAGGGGGTTTTTGTATGTGGAAAAGGCTCAACTTTAGAGAAAATAAGAACTGTGCCAACTCAAAAAGAAAATCAAGTCATGGTCAAAAACTGAAGAGAGATCCTGATGCCACTCAAGAACGTATGTTCCATGTATTTCTGAGGCCTTCTGTATCTCCTAGGGTCTTTAAAAGGACAGAGAAGAAAAAAAGTGGGGAGACTATGCATTTATGATGTATCTTTGGGATAATATAACTTTACATATAACTACAAAATGTTTCATGTTTTTAGTGAAAAAAATGTCAGCTGAACTGACATTAACCTAAGTTCTTTCTCTTGAAAAAAGTTATTCAATACCAAAATGCATGAGTTTTTTATGGTATATATATATATTCCAAAAATAGTATTACTAAATGACTACTTGTGTTTGTAAACATGTTTTCCTAGTAAATACATTGTCTTATCAGTATCCATGTGTCAATGGTAAACACGAAAATATGTATGCATTTATACACACACACACACATATATAGTGTGTGTGATACTTTTGCAGAAATTACTATTTTCAAAAAACTTAGGGTTCCTTTAGGATGAAGGAGAGGTGATTTGAAAGTGAAGATTGCTAGGAAACAGGGCCCTGTAATATCTGCAGGCCTTGAGTTACAAGGCAGAAAAAGAGAAATGTCTTCATTTAAGAAAGATGAACTTTACAGCTTAGGAAGTTTTTCCATACATAAACTAATTGTATTCCCTCAACTTTATGTGAAGTGTGTCCTGGTTATAATTGTACTCAGGTACAAATGTACACAAAAACACTATAAAGGTAGTATCATAAGCATATTTTATTATACTCATGGATTCTGTGGGTCAGAAATATAGAATAGGTATAGCAGAGGACTCTTGTTTCTTCTCTATGATGTCAGGTGTCTCAGTTGGAAAGCCTGAGGTTAAATTGAGGGCAGGGGCTGTTTTAATGTGAGGCTCTTTCACCTGGGTTCACCATACCACTCTGAACTCAAATACTCTAAAATTCAAATATTCCCTAGGCTAGGAGGATTTGAAGACTGGGACTGCTAACAGAAGGAACATGCCCTCACTCATGACTTGGCTTCCTTATCGCATGGAAGCCTCTGGGTAATTGAATTTTGAATGTGGTGGCCCAGGAATCCAAGAGCAAATGATCTAGTGAAAAAAGCAGGAGCAGCATTATCTATTATGACCTAGCCTTAATAATCAAGCAGTATCACTGCTACCTCACCCTATTGGTTAAAAATAAGTCACAAACCCGTGCAGATTAAAGAAGAGGGGAATAAGAGTCCATGCATTGAAAAGAAAGTGGCAATGTTCTAGAAGGGCGTGTTCTTTTTTTTTTTTTTTTTTTTTTGAGACAGAGTCTTGTTCTGTCACCCAGGCTGGAGTGCAGTGGTGAGATCTCGACTCACTGCAAGCTCCGCCTCCTGGGTTCACGCCATTCTCTTGCCTCAGCCTCCCGAGTAGCTGGGACTACAGGTGCCCGCCACCACACCCGGCTAATTTCTTTTTGTATTTTAAGTAGAGACAGGGTTTCACCATGTTAGCCACGATGGTCTTGATCTCCTGACCTTGTGATCTGCCTGCCTCAGCCTCCCAAAGTGCTGGGATTACAGGCGTGAGCCACCGCGCCTGGCCTCTAGAAGGGCATGTTCTAGAAGGGGTTGGGGGATATTGTTGTAGTCATCTTTGGAAAATTCAATATGCCACAGAAGCTAAGTTTCAAAGAAAGTGAATAACTTGCTGAAGCCAAACAATAATTGATAAAATAAGCAATAGGGTTTTGACTTCAAGAAAACATTTGTCATCTACAAATCATGGTTTAATTTTTTAAACAAAACAAATGAGATGAAGCTGTATCACAACCACAAAAAGGAGGTATGGCCACAATATAGTAAGAATACTTTAAAGCTTCAAACTTCAAAACTTTATCTCTGATACATGTTTTTTCCTTGAGGACTCTTTCCTTCTCCCTCTCTATACTAAATTCTTATATCCTCATTGTTCTGAGCTATATTCAACATTCGGAAACCATCTCAATCTAATGCTGTATTAGAGCAGATTTCTCATTGCCAAAATAAAAAAAATGATATTTGTGTTGTACAATGCAATGGTATCTACTGAACAGCAGACTTGTTTTCCCCGAAGATTTTCATTAGTACTGAGTCAATTTTTGTCTGGTGTGTTGCTCATTTCTCAGCATGGTGGATGCTGAAGGTTTTCCCCTGCAGAAACTGAATGTCATCAATGAGGACATATGTCTTCAGAGAAGCTAAAAATAAGAGATCTTTCCCACGCCATTGTGTTCGAGTTCCTGAGGGAAAAATGAGCCTCTGGTCGAGGTACCATTCAAAGAACAACAACAAAGATTTTCCAGTTCAGCAGCTGAAGGAGAAGGCTTCTTGTTCCCAGAGAAGCAGCTAGCATCACATTTAAACTACATAAACTACAGCATGGTGTTTTTCAGGAGCATGGATGATGTGGTTAGTGCCCTGACATCTGAGAAAGGAAAAGACTCAATAAATAAAGCAAACATCATAACACTCAGACTTACATATATAAATATTTCATACCTTGCACATAAAATTGGAGTTCACTAAATTGTATGTTGTTAAACTCAGGTACAGATTCCTTCAGCCTTCATAAATAGAGGAACCACAGTCTTCTTACCATCAGTGGATGCCTAACTAACAAAGTATCAAGATGAATAAAGGATTCTTCAAGTGACTCCTTATGTACTTTTGGATGACTTCTTACTGTGGTCCTCTTACTCTATAATAAAAATTTCCAACCACATTTGCTTTTTCCAGGACATAGCTGTTCTTTTCAGGCAGTCAGTATTTTTCTCAGCCTTAACAAATACAGCAGAGCTACTCCTATTTGACTTAGACTGGTGTGCAATAGCTTCCGGAAAGATGAAACCTAATAGACATATAAAGAGCTTAACCATTTATGAAATTCTGACACATTAAAACATAGAGGAGAAATCACATATTTGAGAATCAGTCTATATTTGTAGTTGTCTATCCTTGGCAAATTCTTCAGTCTTACTGAATTTCAGTTCATCCTCTTTAAAAATCAGTTTCAAAATACGGGAATACTTTTACAATCTTCGTGGGACTGTAAACTAGTTCAGCCATTGTGGAAGACAGTGTGGCGATTCCTCAAGGATCTAGAACTAGAAATACCATTTGTCCCAGCCATCCTATTACTGGGTAATAAGGATTATAAATCATGCTGCTATAAAGACACATGCACACGTATGTTTATTGTGGCACTATTCACAATAGCAGACTTGGAACCAACCCAAACGTCCATCAATGATAGACTGGATTAAGAAAATGTGGCACATATACACTATGGAATACTATGCAGCCATAAAAAAGGATGAGTTCATGTCTTTTGTAGTGACATGGATAAAGCTGGAAACCATCATTCTCAGCAAACTATTGCAAGGACAAAAAACCAAACACCGCATGTTCTCACTCATAGGTGGGAATTGAACATGAAAACACTTGGACACAGGAAGGGGAACATCACACACCGGGGCCTGTCGTGGGGTTGGGGGAGGGGGGAGGGATAGCATTAGGATATATACCTAATGTAAATGATGAGTTAATGGGTGCAGCACACCAACATGGCACAGGTATACATATGTAACAAACCTGCACGTTGTGCACATGTACCCTAGAACTTAAAGTATAATTAAAAAAATACATTCCATAAAATTCCTATAAGCTTTACATTAAAATATAAATAAAACAAATATAACATAGCTTCAAAAATTACATATTTAATATGTACTCAGTAAGTTTGTTAAATACTATTTACAATAGCAAAGATATGGAATCAACTTAAATGTCTATCAGTGGATGAATGGGTAAAGAAAATGTGGTACATGTACAAAATCGAATACTATTTGGCCATTAAAAAAACAATAAAATATGTCATTGGCACCAGCATGGTTGGAATTGGAGATCATTATGTTAAGTGAAATAAACCAGGCACAGAAAGACAAATATTGCATATTCTCACTAATATGTGGGAGCTAAAGAAGTCGATTTCATGGAGGTAGAAGATGAAATGATAGATACCAGAGGCTTGGAAGGAACCAACCTGCGAACTGAAGCCAGACAAATTAAACTTCAGAAGAAAATAACAGCAACTTATTTACATACATAAGCCACTTTCATACCTGCCTATTAATGTATGGACTTCAGAGTAATGTGGCCTATATTGCTTTTTCCAGGATTGTTCTTTTGTTTGTTGTGTTTTCTCCCTTCCTCTTCCCTACTTTATCTTCACAGGACATGAGGCTTCACAACCTGCTAAAAATGAGCTTTTGGGACCTACCCATCTAGGAATATACTGTCCTAGCCATGAGAGATCAGATGAAACCTGAGACCAGAGACTAAACTTCTTGTAAAATGCTTTCCCCAAAAGATTTTTAAAAAGAAAAGGGAGGAAATGTGAAAGGAAAATATCTTGGGTCCCCAAAATCACTAAGATAAACTCAAGCTGGAAACTGCTTGGGCAAGCCTGCCTCCTGTTCTATTCAAAATCACCCCTCTGCTCACTGAGATAGATGCGTATCTGATTTGTCTCATTAGGAAAGGCTAATCAGAAACCTAAAGGAATGTAACCATTTGTGTCTCACCTATCTGTGACCTGGAAGCTCCCTCCCTGTTTCCACTCTTCCTGCCTTTGCTTCAAGTTGTCCCGCCTTTCTAGACCAAACCAATGTACTTCTTACATATATTGATTGATGTCTCATGTCTCCCTAAAATGTATAAAACCAAACTGTGCCCTGACCACCTTGGGCTCATGTCGTCAGGACTTCCTGAGGCTGTGTCACGGGCACGTCCTCAACCTTGGCAAAATTAGCTTTCTAAATGAACTGAGACCTGTCTTGGATTTTCTGGTTTCACACCTAGCTGGAATGAAAGGAGATAGAATGAAAAAGGAAGATGCACGTGCAATTTTTTTTTCCTTAGGATGTTAGCACCTCCTCTTGATGTGCAAACCAAATTAAGAAGAAAATAAAGCCCAACTTGAGTTATTTAGACTCCAAGTTGTCTAGATTGGTCTGCTCTATTATTTGCTACTGGGGATAGAGATGCTGGTAATGTTGGCAGATTCACTCCAAATGAAATGTATTCCCGAAGAAAAAATTCTTTGCCACAGCCACAGACCTCACCACTACTTAGAAGGCAGCTGTTAGCCCAAGGAGATTGGGAAGACTACCAGCCGTGAAAGAGTAAAAACTAGTGCGAACTCCAAACTGTTGAGCTGTAACCTCTCTTAGAACTCAGGTTCTGAGTATCTTATCATGATTCTAGCCCCACAGCACATACAGGAGTGTTCAGAAATATTTTTGGAATAAATGATTTAATGAATTGCCAATTCTAAAAAATCAATTTCAAGTGCCTTTTTTAACCATTAGATTTATATTCAAAAGTTAGAACTCTACAGATATGGTACAATCTTTCTTTTGGAGAGAAGAATATCTAAAATATGTGTCTAAATGATCTAAACATTTCAATTACCTATCCTCTGTGAGCTAAAATCATATCATTTAAATTATAAACAACTTCTCTCTACAACAGCATCTTTCAGTAACCCCCTGACTTGTATTAGGGGCAGATTTGTGTGCATTAGCAGAAAAAATAACATCACATTAGCTTTCGTTTTCTCTTCTTGTTTTCCCACAAAACTCAGTTCATCATAATGATCTCTAAAGAAATTATACTAGCATTTTTATAAATATTCATAGTTATATTTCCATATTTACTGAGGAGTAATAGAAATTTTAGACACTACCTACATTATACATTATAAGACATGAGTCAAGTAAATCATGACATGTGCAAAAAAATTACTTCTAAGAAAATTTTTTCCACTATCCCACTTAAAAACTGTTAGTTTAAATAAAGATGACTCACTTTATTCCTTAATGATTAAGAGATAGACACATTGAAATGGCATTTATTTTCAATAGGCCCAAGTTTTTTTTCTCTTCAATTGTGCCAGTCACACTATGGTTTTTTTCATAAATAATATGAATTCACTGAGTTTGTAGATCTGAGGCTATTAATGTGTAAAGCTTCTCACTTAGCAGACAAGTTCAATCAGTATAAAAAGCACAACGAGGCCTGAAATTATTATTCTGAATTATGTATCAATATAATTTATTCCTGGGAACATCTAAAATGAACAAATATGTTTCTGAGGCACAAGAACATATATTCAATAATGCAAGCTAAGATTAATTCAGCATTACCAAATTTTGAAATCATACTGGGGAAGTATGCCTGTTTAGATGGCTTAGGTGTAAAGTTTATGATAGTATAAGGGAATAAAGGATACTATGCAGAAGGTAGCCAAGATGGGACAGAAATAAAGAATTTCATGTAAACAACCAATTACTATGAAATTTTCAAGCCCCCCCTTTTTCTGTTCATGCTGGGGAGATTTTGTCATTATATGAACTCTGTTTTGAAAATGTACTTATGGTGCAGTTTGAACTTATGATTGTAAAAAACCAAAGAAGCAGCAGCAAATTGGATTGTAGATATCCATCAAATTATCTCTACAATACCTTTGAAGAAACGTTCAAACTCCATTTTCTTTATTTTCTGTCTCTGTTGAATAATAACAATATTAGGCGACTTTGTTTCTTTTTCTTTGCCATTTTCCTGCAGTGAAATTCTTTTCAACTTAATGATGTTCTCTCATCTGTAATTAGCGATGCATAACAACATCTTGATATTTCCTTTTTTTCCTGCTTGATTGTTTGCATGAACAAAATGATGTAATTAGTAATATATATTTAGTAACCCATATAGGAAAATGTGGAATGTAAAAAAAAATAGGTTTATGATTCTCCCTGGTTTCCTTATAACTATTCCACTGACCCCTAACAAAAGAGGGAATAATAAGACAAAGATAATTGACTTTTAGTACTGAAAGAGCCAGAATATGTACTGTGAAATGCAGTTTTAGGTCTTAAGTAAGCCAACCATCTTTGCACAGATTAAGCTTATTGAAATGAGAAGGAGGAAGAGAGGAAAATGGCAATGAGGAGTAGGCATTTCAGAAGGCATTGACAATAATCTCTAATGCTCTGAGTGTAACTAACACAGTGTCCTGAGTATTGGTGTCATCAAGAGGCCCATGAAGGATATGCAATAGGAAGTAGGATATTTACATTGTATATGATGCTGATTTGAGAATAAGCCAGAAAAGAAGCAAATATTGAGAATGTGTGAATTCGAAGACAGCATGTCAAGTCAGCTTCTCCACAGGATATGGCACAGAAATTCAAGGGATTCATCCCAACTCAAGCCTATTGGCGCATGTCTTGAAGCCAAATCTTAGATCCAAACAAGTTGCTGTCATTTTGTCTCTATTTGTGGAATTACTTCCACTGAATTAAACCACACTGCTGTTGGGCCAGGATTAAGCCAGCCTTCTAGCCTCTTGCTGGACCTCTGATTTTATTTCTCACACACTTATTTGAGTTGGCCAGTCCAGCAAACAACTGAGTTAAAGAGGCCTGCCTGTGAAATTCATGAGGGTGCTTTCTGGGGTTTGCCCCTTCACCTTTCAATATCAAAGCAAATTATTCCTGTCTAGATTCAAGAGTGCCACATAAAACTGCTTAAGAGACTGTGTCTAACACAGTGTGAAAGAATTATGAGGAATTCTTGAGTTATGGGGAAGTGAGCCCTATTTGGGATATCAAAATATGTAAAGGGAGGAATTTCTATCCTGCCTTGGGGAAAACTGTCATAGTTACATCAGATCACCTTATGCTCTAGTGCTTTTATTTTACGCTACTGTCATGAGAATGAGGACTCGTCTGTGAGCTAGAGTCCTTTCTTTTGATCCTGCCAATTATTTTTCACAACTTTGAAATAAGCATTTTTAATCATGTGTTTGGTTTACACAGAGCTTAGGAATTCATAGCATCATTAATGTTTAAAAGTCCATCACAGGTCTCTTTAAGATTCTAAATGATTTTTCTTTGGTTTTCACTTTCTAAAAAAAATTGTATGTTAAAAATGAGAATCACATTAAGTATGAAAATGTTAATTATATATGTGTGAGATATATGCATATGTATATATATTTTATAAGATATGTATACATGTAAGATACATATCATAAGATGTATAAGATGTATATGCATAAGATACATATGATACACATCTATAAATACACACACACCTTTGCTAGGCATCTTGGATAAAAATAAAACTCAGAAGGCCAGGCACGGTGGCTCATGCCTGTAATCCCAGCACCTTGGGAGGCCGAGGTGGGCGGATCACGAGGTCAGGAGATCAAGACCGTCCTGGCTAACACGGTGAAACCCCGTCTCTACTAAAACTACAAAAAATTAGCCAGGCGTGGTGGCGGGCATCTGTAGTCCCAGCTACTCGGGAGGCTGAGGCAGGAGAATGGTGTGAACCCGGGAGGTGGAGCTTGCAGTGAGCCGAGATTGCGCCACTGCACTCCAGCCAGGGTGACAAAGTGAAACTCCGATTCAAAAAAAAAAAAAAATTTAAACTCAGAAACAGACTATTACTTTCTCAGAAGAGTTTAAAATTTTATCTGGGAATACACAAAAACACTTAAATTGAGAGTCATGTAATAGGACAGTATAGATGATAGTAATTATTATTAGAATAGTGTACATTTAAAAATAAATTGCCTTTGCTTATTCGTGCAGCTATGTAAATATTGGTAACAGACTATCCCTTTCTTAGAGGAGTGCAATGATCATGAATATCTCATGAGTCATTTCTTGTTTAACAAGAACCAAAAGAAGAAAACAAAATAATGGTAGATTTTGCTCCTTACAAATTGCTTTAAAACCTCTTCAGTGAGACTATCATTTGAGTAAACATCAGCTATATGCTTCTTTATGGAGGTCCTGACTACTGGACCAAGTTTCTACCTTTATTTTTAAATGTCAGAACACCCAAAGAACCACCAAAAAGAGAGAGTTTATTTTCTGTGGGGCAACTTAGTGTGTAGATTTCCCTGAACTCTGACAAGAAGTCAGCACCAATGAGGGGAGAGAGGAAACATTCCTGGATGTGATACAGTCATGTTCCATATAATTATGTTTTATTAGAGAAAACAGGAAAAAAAATAAAATGAAAGAAAATGATTCTCCCCAAATATGTATGGTGCAAAATGTGTAGCTGGTTTATGAAGTCTTTTTTTTTTCTAAATGAAAGGTTATTCTAAGGACCATCAAACTTATAAAACCAGGGTCTCCAGGAATTTTTCCAGAGGAAAACCTAGTTTTCACTTTGCGTCAGGGGAAAAAGGTAATATTAAGTGGGGAAAGGGACATAATGGCCATAAATAAACTGGAAGGTCATTGAAGGAAGCAGACAGAGCTGACACTATCTTGAATCAACTTGTTGGGAGAAAGGCCAAGGACTAGGGAGGGGAATGTGAGGGTGGCTGTGGTTATGTATCTTGGTGTAACTTGGTCTGTCTTAAAGAAGAAACAAGTGGTCAGGAGTAATCGTTGGAGTAATCATTTGGATAACAGGGCACATTGTGGAGAAAGTTCATATTACAGAAAAAAGGACCAGTCTTATTTCTGTACTCTTTCGGGTGATCTGTTATATTATATATAATAAGGATTACCAAGGATATTGATCATGTTGATGGCCCAAAATTAACAATATAAATTTTAAACATGATATATATTTTTTCCAGCTTGTGAAACATCTGAAATATTTAGCTTTTTGATGTGGTAACATATATACAACATAAAATTTGTCATTTTAACCATTTTTAGGTGTCCATTTGAGTGGCATTAAGAGCATTCATACTGCTGTGCAATCATCACCCCCATCTACATCCAGAGCTCTTTCATCATCCCAAACTGAATCTCTGTACCTATTAAACAATAACTCCCCATTATTCCCTACTGCTGTCTCCTGGTAATCATCATTTTATTTTCTGTCTCTGTGAATTTGACTACTCTAAGGACCGCATGTAAGTGGAATTGTATAGTATTTGTCCTTTCGTGTTTGGCTTATTTCATTTAGTATACTGTTTTTGAAGTTCATCTACATTGTAGCATATGTCCTAATTTCTATCCTTTTTAAAACGGAATAATATTCTATTTTATGTATATAGTGCATTCTGTGTATCTATTCATCTTCTGAAAGGCATTTGGGTTTTCCTACCTTTTGGCTATTGTGAATAATGCTGCTATGAACTTAAGTGTACAAATATGTGTTCAAGTTCCTGCTTTTTATTTATGTTTTCAGTATATACCCAGAAGAGGAATTATGGGATCACATAGTAATTCTATGTCTAGTTTTCTGAGAACAATCATACTGTTTTCCACAAGGGTTATACCACTTTACGTTCCCACCAGGGATACACAAAAGTTCCAATTCCTTCACATCCTCACCAACAATTTTCTTTTGCTTTTTTTTTTTTTTTTTTTGGTTTTGCTTTTAATAATAGCCATCCTTATGGATGTGAAGTGGCATCTTATTGTGATTTTGATTTGCATTTCCTAATAATTAGTGATGTTGAACATGTTTTCCTGTACTTATTGGCCATCTTCATATCTTCTTTGGAGAAGCCTATTCAAATCCTTTGCCCATTTTTTAACTGGACTGCTTCTTTTTATGTTTTTGAGTTGCGGGAGTTTTCCTTTAATGTATTTTGGATATAAATCCCTTATCTGATATATGATTTGCAAATGTTTTCTCTCATTCAGTGGTTTGCCTTTTCACTGTCCATTGTGTCCTTTGATGCAAAAAAGTTTTAAATTTTAATGAAGTCTCATTTACCTATGTTTCCTTTTGTGGTCTATGCTTTTGGTGTCATGTCCAATAAGTCATTGCCAAATGGTGTCATGAAGCATTTCCGCTACATTTTCTTCTAACAGTTTGATGGTTTTGGCTTTTCTGATTTCCATCCCTCTCTCTGAGATGCACTGACTGTAGAAGATCTCAACCAAAGGGAGTCTTCGATGATCCCGTCCTGTAGAAATTTTCCCATAATCTGAGACCCTCTGTCCTACATTCAGGACTATGCAATAAATTAAGCATATGTTTAGTTTTTGCCCTTTTTTTTGGCCAGTATTTGCCTGGAATTGATGCATTGATGGATCTCATCTATATATCCAGCTCCATCCTTTTCTAGACTAGGGTATACATAAAATCCATGATGGCCAGGTTTTCTCATTGCAGGTCAGCTGCACATGCCCAGCATTTGATGTGCCAAGGAGAGCTTTAATAACTACACTAACTTCCCAGTGTGGTCTTCCCATACTCTTCCCTTAGATGCAAATATTGTTCATTTTGAATAACAGTGCACAGACCCAATCTTTCTTCACTTGAGTTCTCCTGATGATCATGAATCATATCCCTTAACTCCATACCAACTGAACACTAGAAAACAATATGCTAAATGAAGTAAGCCAGACACAAAAGGACAAATACTATACAATTCCACTTATATGAGATCCCTAGAGTAGTCAAATTCACAGATATTTCAGATGCTTTTTACATTATTCTTTAAACACTACATTATTCATCTATAATGAGCTACTCCCTTTTATGCATCTTTTTTTCTCCTGCAGTTTCTTCTACCCTTTCCACTTGTATCGTGGTCAAATATTCTGTTTAAAGTGAATTTTAATCTGCTTTATGAAACCATTTCTACTGATCTCAGATCATTGCTTCCTCTCCCGTACTTCTAGGATCCTTTATCCATAAAGTCACCATGTCATTGATCACATCCTGATATATTTAGATGGGAAGCCATGTGCTTCTCACACTGAGTATGACTTCATTTAAGACAGGTCAAGTAACATCCTGATCTTTATATTCTAGATCACAGAAAATCCCTGGCACACTGTAGGTGCTCAATAAATATTGGAGAAATAAATAAAATAATGACTTAGATTATAAGCAGTCTCAAACCCAGATATATGTCATCATTTGGAGAATTTCAGAAACCTATCTGTGGCAAACTCTCATTCATTATTAATGGAGTGTAAATTATATCATGGAATAGAACTTGGCAATATGCACCAAGTCTTAAAACTCATTCTTTGAGCAAACAATGATACTTCTAGAAATCAATTTTCAAAAGGAAATTGGAGATCCTAAAGTAAAACAGAAGTTTTTCAGTTGTAAGTGATGGATATCAACTCAAAATAATTTAAACAAACAAACAAACAAGCAAAAAACCAAAATGGAACTAGGCTACTCCTAAAGCTTAACTGAAGAAGGTTATAAAATTGAAGAGTTGCAGTACCCAGGGCCCAAAGTCAGACAGTAGAAACCAGTATATGCCAGAGCTTTCCCAGACTCCATCTACCATTCCTCTTTGCTAATTTCATTTAACTTCATTCTTCAGATAGGTCTCTTCTATGAGATAAAATATGCTTCTTAACAGTTACAAATTCTCATCCTCTGTGCTTAGCAATTCCAGAGGTAAGAGTCATTTCTTCCTATTTTTTTTGTCATCTCCCTATCAATCCAGAAAAGGTACTGGATTGACCTACTTAGATCATTAGAACACTTTTTGATCAGGCACTGCTTCCATGAAAATAAGATAGAGTGTATTGGTTATCCAAGACAAGTATGCTAGAAGATTAAAAAATAAATGAATGAATATATAAATAAAGAATATATTTACTATGAGTCAGAAGATTATGTTTAAGGGCACACACCATATTATAAAACTGAAAAAAGGCACAGATGCCCAAGATAGTAGTGCAGTTTGAATAAATTATTTATTGTTGTACACATTGAAACATAGAATCATTTCATATTGTGTTTCTCTAGAATTTTGATTTTTCCTGTTTGTTTTTTTGTGTTCTTCTGTGCACCTTCTTCACGTTTAGGGGTCAGATGGAGAGACTCAAAACACAATGAAGTTTGTAGTCAAACATCAATACATTCAGGGCAGGAAAGATGAAAGGATGAATTTTTAAAGTAATACCTAGATTGGTGGTAACTGTACTTTTAAAGGGATAGGAGCTCTACAAGGGACTTCAAATCAAAGCAGTTGAATATAAATACAAGCCCATTTTCAGTGGAGAATTGTCAAGATATATTTCATTCTGTATTATTCTAGGCTCTTATAACTAAAACTATAGTGAAAGAATGGCAATTGTCCAGTGAGTTGAGGTAGTAAATAACTCAGCCTGAATCCCAGTATGCCCTCCATTTTCTAAGTAATAGAAGTGAAAAGTAAACGTGTAAGAAATAGTTCTCATTTGTCCTTGTTTGAGGTATTTTCTTCTTACCATTATCAGTTACCTAAGTAAGAAGAAATTTCAAAAGCTATCAACATTATTTAACTATCTATACAATGATTAAGAGAACTCCCTCAGTTTCAGCATAAACATATAGATATCTCTTCCTACTAAATGTTTTTTAATGCTTATGGCTTTCATTTGCTCATTTATACCTGGGATTTCTGCCAGTATTCTAATGAAATAACACATATTTATGACTAAGACTGAAATTCACAGCTTCAAAACACTTTAACTATTTACTTGGGAAACCTGACATCTAAAACTCAATACCTGAGATATGTGCCTCTATGAAACTTGACAAGATTTACTGTCTAAGTTTTTAGTGTATTCATGTGGGTATAGATGGAGAGGCAGAGCTCCAGTTTGAAAGCCTTCAACACTGCATGTCACAAAGGCAGGCACTGGACCCTCTTATAACTATATTCGCTGGCTGGCCAATACTGTCACTGTAGAATCTCAGTGACTTGCCCACTGCAGAATTTAGAATTTAAAGGCCAATTAAGGGAGCAACTATCTGAAACAGTAGCACAGTGTATGCCAAGAGATCTAACTTTTTGCACTTTCACTTTTCCACAGCCTTTATAAAAGGATGATATGAAAAGGGGAAAGGAAAATGACACTGCTACATTGGCCACAAGCTTTGGCATGGGCATTGAGGCAGAGACACAATTGCTATTCTCTGAAGAAGTCTCTGATAGGTGGATGACTTATCCTCCACTTGAAAATATATCTGACTGTTCTTTTTTTATTATATCAAGCAAAGAAGAACAAATGACGGTCCTCTAAAAAGAAAGTAGGAAAATGGGACTTTAAATGATGGAAATATTTGATTATTTTATTGTAAGCTATAGTCTTCCTTAGTAAATGATTTATAGATGACTTCTTAGAAGGTATAAAAAACAACAGGCAACAATGTTAAATTATCAATAAAAATCAGTACCACTGGTATAGTTTGTAAATAAGGCAAATATTATTTAGGAAGATGAGAATGTAAGAAAAGGAAAGGAAAATTAAAATAGAGGAATCGGAATAGTGACAGTTTTATTAAGTGTTTTCAGAGAAATCTTAGATTTGTGGTATTTGTTGAAAATAGATGGTGTTAACATTTTGTCAAAATGGAAAAGAAGACTCGGATACCAATCTGGGCAAGATCAGAAAGACAATATAAAAGTGAAAATAAAAAATTGAGTATGAGCTTTTTATACCAACCAACCAATCAGATAAATAAATAAAGGAATAATATAGAGGTCTGTTTTTGCCATGGTACCATAGAGTCTGCTGACAATGCAAATCACAGAAGACTGCTAAATAATGCCAGTCAGGTGAGCCTATTATTCTTTGTAGAGTGCCTTTCTCTGCTTTCTGAGTCTATATGTTGCATTTTATTGTTCAAGTATACATTATTACTAAGTTGTTGTGCCTTCCTTTCTTCCTTCTTTCCTTCCTTCCTTTCTTCCTTTTTTTCTTTTTCTTTCTTCTTTCTTTCCATTTAAGGCTATGATATCTTAAACGTGTATTTTTATTTAAAATTAAATATCTATATCTACATCTATATATAGCTTTCTTAAATGACTGTAAAGTCACTTGAAAAGAAAATAACAGAGGATGTAGATATCGGAAATAGTTTTTAGTAAGCTGATTTAAGGAAATGAGGATTAGCACTCACGTTAATATCAATTTTTATGCAGATATCCTCCTAAGATATGTCCTCACCATCCTACAAGATCAAATGATCTCCAGGAAACAAATCCATAATAAGGAATTAGTCAATTTCATGTGAGTTATCAAAATTATGTGTGTACAGTCATTCATATATTCCCTTATTATCTTTTAGATGCCTGCAGAGACTTTAGTAATATATCTTGTTTTATTCCTGATATTGATAGTTTTTTGTTTCTTCTCTTTGTTTGTCCATTTTATTATATGCAATACAATATTATTAACTATAGTCCTCTTGCTGTACATTCTATCTCTAGACTTATTCATCCCACAACTGCAAATTTCTACCCTTTGACCCACATCTCCCAATTTCTTCCCCCTGACCTACCCCTAGTAACCATCATTAAACTCTCTGTGTTTATTATTTCCCATTTTTTAGATTCCACATGTAAATGACATGATGTGGTATGTGTCTTTCTGTGTCTGGTTTATTCCACTTAATTTAATGGCTTCCAGGTTTACCAATGTCATCACAAATGACAGAATTTTCTTTTCTTTTAAGGCTGACTAGCATTCCATTGTGTATATACCACATTTTCCTTATTCATTTAGCCATAGATGAAAATATAGGTTGATTCCATACCTTTGTTAGTGTGAATAGTGCTACAATGAGCATGGGGGTACATACCTCTCTTCAACATAGTGATTTAATTTTCTTTGGATATTTACTCAGTAGTGGGTTGCTGGATCATATGGTAGACGTTTTTAATAGGGCAGAAGGATTGCTAGGTTATAATGGCAACCCCATTTATGATAGCATCAAGAAGAATAAAATACTTAGGAATAAATTTAAATAAGAAACTAAAAGATGTATTCACTGAAATCTATAAAATACTGAAGAAAGAAATTGAAGAAGAGACTGGTAAACATAGCAAGACTTCATCTCTACAAAAAAATTAAAAAATAAATAGCTAGGTACGGTGGCACATGCCTGCAATCCTGGCTACTAGGGAGGCTGAAGTGGGAGGAAATCTTAAAACTGGAAGGTTGAGGCTGCAGTGAGCTATGATCATGCCACGGCACTCCAGCCTGAGCAACAGAAAAAGATCCTGTCTCAAAAATAAATAAATAAATAAATAAATAAAAACAAAAGACTAAAGAAAGACTAAAGGAGAATTGCAAACCACTGCTCAAGGAAATAAGAGAGGACACAAATGAAGAAACATTCCATTCTCATGCACAGGAAGAATAAATTTAGTGAAAATGGCCATACTGCCCAAAGTAATTTACAGATTCAATGCCATTCCCATTAAACTACCATTGACATTCTTTACAGAATTAGAAAAAAACTATTTTAAATTTTATATGGAAACAAAGAAGACACTGTATAGCCAAGACAATCCTAAGCAAAAAGAACAAAGCTGGAGGCATCATGCTACCTGACTTCAAACTATGGTACAAGGCTACAGTAACCAAAACAGCATGGTACTGGTACCAAAACAGACATACAGATTGATGGAACAGAACAGAGACCTCAGAAATAACACCACACATCTACAATCATCTGACCTACGACAAACCTGACAAAAACAAGCAATGGGGAAAGGGTTTTCTATTCAGTATATGGTGCTGGGAACACTGGCTAGCCATATGCAGGAAACTGAAACTGGATCCCTTCCTCAAGATGGATTAAAGACTTAAATGTAAAACCCAAAACCATAAAAATTCTAGAAGAAAACCTAGGCGATACCATTCAGGACATAGGCATGGGCAAAGACTTCATGATGAAAACACCAAAAGCAATTGCAACAAAAGCCAAAATTGACAAATGGGATCTAATTAAACTAAAGAGCTTCTGCACAGGAAAAGAAACTAGCAACAGAGTGAACAGGCCACCTACAGAATGGGAGAAAGTTTTTGCAATCTACCCATCTGACAAAGGTCTAATATCCAGAATTTACAAGGAACTTAAACAAATTTACAAGAAAAGACAACTCCATCAAAAAGTGAGCAAAGGATATTAAAAGACACTTCTCAAAAGAAGACATTTATGGCCAGGTGCTGTGGCTCACGCCTGTAATCACAGCACTTTGGTAGGCCAAGGTGGGCAGATCACAAGGTCAGGAGATGGAGACCATCTTGGCTAGCATGGTGAAATCCCATCTCTATTAAAAATACAAAAATTAGCTGGGCGTGGTGGCACATGCCTGTAGTCCCAGCTACTCAGGAGGCTGAGGCAGGAAAATCGTTTGAATCGGGGAGGCGGAGGTTACAGTGAGCTGAGATCACACCACTGCACTCCAGCCTGGCAACAGAGCAAGACTCTGTCTCAAAAAAAAAAGAGAAGACATTTATGCAGCTAACAAACATATGAAAAAAAAGCTCAACATCACTGATAATTAGAGAAATGCAAATCAAAACCACAATGAGATACCATCTCACTCTAGTCAGAATGGCGATTATTAAAAAGTCAAGAAACAACAGGTGCTGGTAAGGCTGTGGAGATATAGGAATGCTTTTATACTGTTGGTGGGAATGTAAATTAGTTCAACCATTGTGGAAGGCAGTATGGCTATTCTTCAAGGATCTAGAACCAGAAATACCATTTGACCCAGCAATCCCATTACTGGGTATATACCCAAAGGAATATAAATCATTCTACTGTAAAGACACATGCACATGTATGTTTATTGCAGCACTATTTACAATAGCAAAGTCATGGAACGAACCTAAATGCCCATCAATGATAGATAGGCTTGATAAAGAAAATGTGGTACATATACATCATGGAATACTATGCAGCTGTAAAAAGGAATGAGATCATGTTCTTTGCAGAGACGTGGATGAAGCTGGAAGCCATCATCCTCAGCAAACTAACACAGGAACAGAAAACCAAACACTGCATGTTCTCACTCATAAGTGGGAGTTGAACAATGAGAAAGCACAGACACAGGATGGGAAACAACACACACCAGGGCCTTTTGGGGGGTGGTGGATGAGGGGAAGGAACATAGAGGACAGGTCAATAGGTGCAGCAAACCACCATGGCACATGTATACCTATGGAACAAACCTGCACGTTCTGCACATGTATCCCGGAACTTAAAGTAAAATTTTTAAAAAGTGAAAAATAAATAAATTAGTACAATAAAATTTTACTTACTGCTTTTTAAAAAAGAAAGACATTGAAGAAGACACAGTTAAATGGAAACATGTCCTGTGACCTCTTCTATATAATTTTAATATGGAAAAACTAAACTAAAAATACTTGAACTAATTTAAAAAGTTTTAATGTGTTTTTAATGTTTCTGAAATACTAGTGTATAGTTTTTATCTGTTTTGTATAGATAAATCTCTGGAGTTCTTTCATGTAATGCAGGAATATAATTGTGCTTCCAAATAATTTCTGTTTCTCTCTCTCAATATTCAGGATATTAAACAATACATTTAAAATGTATTAAGGCAATGAGGTGAAGTACTAATTATTATTATTCTATTGTATTTAATGACATAATTTAATAGGATTCTAAAAAATGAATTGCTTCATTATGTTACAATATGTACACATTTGCCTGTACAAATAGAGAATGATTGACAATCCAAATATCCTTTATCTATTAGTGTATTAGAATGACTTACGTTCTTATCATCTATGGGCTTTCTATTCTGTACCAGGCTTTTAAAATATACAAACACATATAATTTTCTCAGAAAGTTTACAAAGTTTTTATTATATCCATTTTATAGAATATGCTTTTAGATTTGGAAATATTAATTAACTTAGCCAAGGTTACATAGCAGTAAGGAGAAAAGCCCAGTTTTGCTTCCAGAATTCTATCTTCTTAGTCACTACTGTTAAGCCAGTTGCCTAGGTAATCCTCAATTCTATTACAAAGACACAAGTTCTTATTTTAGGGATAATTTCTCTTTCTCTGAAATAGTTCATCCAGCATTCTGGGGCCTTATCAATTAGTCTGTACAAGTAGTGCCCTATTCTTACCTAACAAAGTCTGGCAACATAAGATTATAGAATAGTTCTTATAAATACACATACAAACACAAACAAATAGTAGTTATATGAATGACTAATATTAAGAAATTTACCAGAAAAATATCCATCTTAAATGTTCATCAGTATTCAGTTTTACATTTAAATATATCTTCATAGATGACAGAGACTAGGAAGGGTGAATGGAGAGCAAGGGGGAAGGTGAAGCGTAGTGGGTTAAAGTATACAAACATACAGTTAGATAGAAGGAATAAATTCAATGTTTGATAGCAGAGTAGGTTGACTATAGTTAAGAAAAATGTATAGTACTTGAGTGATGGACACCCTAAATACCCCGATTTTATCACTATGAATTATATACATGTAAGAAAATTTCACGTGTACCCCATTAATTTATATAAATAAAAATAAACAAATAAATAAAATCTCAATGTGACTACTTTTCAGCACCTCCACAGCTGTCACCTTTACTCCAAACTACTTCATTCTCCCCTTGGTTTTCTGTAATAGCCCTCTGAATGATCTCACTACTTCCACTTTTGATGCTATCTATAGCCAAGGCAATCCTTAAGTCATGTCAATGACTTCTCAGTATTCTCAAATGGCTGCTCTAATGGATAACAAAAGGCAAGTCCTTTTGTTTATCTAATTGGGTTATTTGTTTTTTATTGTTAACTTGTAAGAAGTTGTAAAATATATTTTGGATACAAGAACCATACCAGGTATATGATTTGTAAATATTTGGTCTTTCTTGCTATAATAAATTAAATTGTTTTCTCATTTTAATTTTCAGAAGTTTCATTGTTAGTGTATAGAAATAAAATAGATTTGTGCATATTGATCTTATATCCTGAAAATGACTGAAATAAGTTATTAATTATAATAGATTTGTAGTGGGTTCCTTAGATGTTTCTATACACAAGATCATATCAACAGCAAATAGATATAGTTTTACTACTTTCTTTCCAATTTGAATGCCTTTACTTCATTTTTTTGCCTAGCTGCCCTAGTTAGAGGCAATAAAATGTTACATAGAAGTGGTGAGAGTGAATATTTTTATTTAGTTCCTGATCACAGGGGGAAAGGAATTCATTCTTTTACCATTCACTAAAATTTTAGACACTTTTTTTTAAATGTATGCATCACATTTTCTTGTTTATTTTCTTGGGTAGTAAACATTTTAGGTAACATATCATAACAATCCTGGATACTGGTCACCTCTCTAAGGCTTGTTGTTTTTTGCTTATTTCTTTGGTAACTTTAGTGAAATAGCTAGACTATTTTAGTGAAGTTTTTCTCATGCCTTCAACAGGTTACATCCTGTGATGCCGCTCTTCAGAGGGTACAACCCTAGGAATATACACATTTACCCTAAGATGACAGTGATTTCAGCAGAGCTCTCTTTATTTTTTTCCCAGATCTCTTTGCTAAGCTATCTGCTTCAGTTTGATTATCATGCAGCTGTTACCCTTCACAAATTGCTACTTAATCTTGCTATTGTTATCAATAGCACCCTGAGGCATAGATTGCACCACCATCTGATCCCATTAAATTGTGTTCCTTTTGTAGAGGTAATCTTTGAGGTTTGTTCTAACTCCAGGAGGGTTATTCTTAGCTATCTCCTTTCCTATATTTCTCTGGTATATTTCTAACTGGTTTAGAGTGTAGGTTGCTGCTCTCATTGAGCAAGCTGCTTCTTAGTAATTTATTACCACCACTATCTTTTTTTTTCTTTTTGTAGTGCCTTTAGCCTTAACCTAAGCACATTCTGTTGCAAATGAAGTCACTTATTCTAGGGAGAGCTTCTGACCTCTGTTCTTATTGCCTGCTTCTTTCCCTGAGAAAACCCACTACTAATGTAGAACCCGGGCAGGGAATATGGTCCATTTGTCTCAGAGTGACACTTGTGCTTCATTACAGGGTACTGGGCTCAGGCACCCATCTCTGGTCTGTTTGGTTTACTCCTTCCAGCATAGAAACTCAACCCAATAAGTGATCTGGAGTGTTGGTGATTTAAGCCCCACTATTCTTGACCTGCCAGGTCTGGAATAAAGTTATTCCCTAGGAGTGGGATCTGGGTGAAAAAAGGGAGCCTCGACATCTTAGCCTTCTCTTTCCTGGAATAAAACCTCTGCAACTTTGAGCTGAGGGGGTTGAGAAATGCTGGTGGCCTGCACTTCTTCAGGGAGATATCATAGCCCTCAATAGGAACCTGGTGAGAGAGAGAACCCTATGTTCTTGTCTGCAACCTACCATAGTGGAGTTTCCACCACATTGAGCTAAAAATGGGAAGTAGGGAGGACATTGTGACTCAAATGCCATAGACTTCCACTTTACTTAATAAGATTTGGTAGTTTTTCTTGAAGACATAATTTTTACTTGAATACATGCCCTTAAAACAATATCCAGCAATATCCAGAGATGCTATAGTTGTTTCACCTGGAATAGGATCTATAAAGCTGTTTGTGCCATCATTCCAGAAGTCATCTTGAAATTCTTAATAATTTTATCTTTGAGTTTGTGCTTTGTAAGTGAAACTCCATAGCACAATGGAACATGTGTCAGGAACTGAAACCTTTTCTCAGACACAGCCCCCAAACAAACAAAGTTTCTTCGGTTTGGCTGCTTGTGGGAGAGGGGACCTCCACCCAATGGGCCACATTTGCTTCTAATATCTTGCCAGGCCTCTGGGCACCTATGAGGCTCTACACAAAAACCACCATGACAAGTTGAGAGAGAAACATCTGGGGAAAGGAAAAGCTTTTATAACTTAATATTATTAAGAACATATTTTTTCCTGCTTTTTTGAATAAGGGAACCAATATTTTCATTTTGCACTGGTCCTGCAAATTATGTTGCTGTATCTAACTTTACACCTTGACATAGGCTGTTACCTCTATCTAGAGCACTACTTTTCCTCTCCCTTTCTTTCTCTTCATCTGGACAATCCTATTTATTCTTCAGGTCTTGAAGCAGACGTCACTTTCT
Source organism: Homo sapiens (assembly GCF_000001405.40). NCBI lineage: Eukaryota > Metazoa > Chordata > Mammalia > Primates > Hominidae > Homo > Homo sapiens. Next base: position 35,327,477 of record NC_000023.11, on the reverse strand, counting down.
GTGAGAAGCTTTCTGTTCATTTTGGATTAAGTACTGCCAAGTGCTCCAGTACAGTCTCCTTCCCCAATCTAATTACCTGTATTCAATTGTCTATTTAATCAGTTATAGCCAAGCAAAATTGAGGTCAGGTACTGTTTTCTTATTTATCATTATATCTTCAGGTCAAGCATAATATGTTTAATATATTGGTGATTAATAATGGTTAAATGGACAAAGAATCCTTTCAGATGTGGTGTCTAGTCTGATTTCTGAATGATGACAAGGAGATAATGAGAGGTAAATTGAGAGAAATGTACAAAAATGTAGAGAAGGTAGGGTGTAGTCAGTGCCTCTAGAAGGCAGTCAACTGTTGCTTGGGACTGGAATGAAAGGCACAAGTCAATGTGCACAGAGATGCCTTGTGTGTGGTATTAATAAGATTGAACCCCACCTGAAAGGCAATATTGAGCCACTGGAATGATTTCAGACATGAACTGAGTACATCTTAGTAAGGTTACTCTGAGCTTAACATAAGAAAGTCTGGCTACTGAAGTCCTCATTCGGGGAGAAAGATGAGGGCCTGGGTTAGGGCAGCGAGAGGAAATGAGGAAGTAATGGATTAAAGTGATGTTCAGATAGAATCTAGTGGATTTGTTGACTCATGGAACATGGACTAGGAGGGAGTAATGACCGTAAGTGTTCCCAACTAGGTGTCTGAATGAATAGGGATTCTGTTAATTAGGACAGGGGCAGAGGGGTTGAGCAATCTGCAGTCAGGTGTATGATGGAAGATGAGGACTTGGTTGTATGTATGTTGACTTGGATGTGCCTGTGGTCCATGCCGGTGGTGAGATAGGCTTAGTTATAATCAAGACCTACATGGCTGTAGGGATACAGAATCACTGTTTCTCAAACAGACCACGGGCCAAATGCACTTGAGACATGTTCCTGGCACTTTTTCTGCCTTTTATAACACTACTTCTATGGGCAAACGCAAATAGGCAGACCTGAAATTTTAAATATATAGCATTCCTCAAATCCCATTTCTAGTGAGTTATTAGCTAGGAATGGGATTTGGGGAATGCAATATATTTAAAATTTCTGGTCTGCCTATTTCTGGATTTTTGACTGAATGTTGAAATTGACATTAAGAGCAGTGTAAACATGCAGCGTGTCCCAAAATAATGATTACCATAATGATAATAATAAGGAAGCACACTGCAAAGATCCAGCATAAGAAGGGCTTAGAAACTGCCCCTCTACCTCAGTTCTTAACTTCTTCCCTCTTTCTCTGGATTTTTACCCATATAAAGACAATCACATACTTATCTCTTTTTTTTCTATTGTGATGCCCATATTCATGGGAGAACAGAAATGTTTTCATGTGCCTCGTTTGCAGTGAGATTGCTCCCTATGCCCAGAAAATATTTGAACACTGTATTGAGCCAAGCAATCTGTAAAGCTACAGACTTCCACTGCATCATCACCACCACCACTGCTGCATGGGCACACATGTGCACACACAAACACTCACACACATGCACATACTACTTGCTTCAGACCCGCTAGTCTATGTTTGAATATTTCACTGTGCTAAAGTCCCTCAAATGTCCATGTCTTTGTCGATGCTTCTCCACCTGCTGGAAATTATTTTCCTCCTCTGCCTTTATGCTGACTTTTCTGGCTAATCCTTTCTCTTCCTTTAAGAACCAGCTTGCTTGATGCTCCCCTTCCTCATAAGCATCTTCACAGTCCTCTGGCTGAGTCTGGAGATCCTCTGTCTTAGGCTCATTACATAGCACTACAATGACAGATTTTATTCCACATGTTCTCTTCTCTATGCTGACCATCTTGAAAGACAAGGCTGCCCAGTGCCTGGTCCTTAATATGTGTTAAACAAGTAGATGATCTGGGTCACTCTGGAGAATGAGAAGCCATGGCTGAGGGTTAAGGAAAACTTTCAAAGTGCTCTTGCCATGAAGGAACAGAAAGTTCCCAAGAAAAAAAAAATATCAAGAAAGAATAAGTTTGCTTATGATAATATTGATATACTACATTTATACACTCTTTAAGAAAAAGGCTTGATCACCTGAGTAAAAACATATGCTACTGCAATCAATTGGCCAAGATACAATTTTATTTCCCAAGAATAGAGTATTAAATTTCCTTATGAGAGAAGGAAGAGACAGCCTTATTTGCTGGTTCTATTTTTTGGTAGGTATTTGCAGGGCTGTCTTGATGACTTATGGTTCATCATTTGCTTCTTATGAACAAGCAATTATCTTTTTTTTAAATTTTTTTGTGAGCACATAATAGGTGTATATATTTATGGGGTACAAAAGATGTTTTGAAACAGGCATGCAATGTGAAATAAGCATATCATGAAGAATGGGGTACATTAACATTTGTTCTTTAAGTTGCAAACAATTCAGTTACACCATGTAAGTTATTTTAAAATGTACAGTTATTACCGACTATAGTCACCCTGCTGTGCTATCAAATAGTAGGTCTTATTCATTCTTTCTATTTTTTTTTGTACCCATTAACTATCCCTACTTCTTCCCAATCCCAGGCCCCTACTACCCTGCCCAGCCTTTGGTAACCATCCTTCTATTCTCTATGTTCATATGTTCAATTGTTTTGATTTTTAGATCCCACAAATAAGTGAGAACATGTGATGTTTGTCTTTCTCTGCTGACCTTATTTCACTTAATATAATGATCTCCATTTCCATCCATGTTGTTGCAGATGACTGGATCTCATTCTATTTTATGGCTGAATAGTACTCCATCGTGTATATGTACCATATTTTCTTTATTCATTCATCTGTTGATGGACACTTAGGTTGCTTCCAAATCTTAGCTATTCTAAACAGTGCTAAAACAAACGTAGAAGTGCAGGTGTCTCTTCGATGTCCTGACTTCCTTTCTTTTGGGTATATACCCAGCAGTGGGATTGCTGGATCATATGATAGCTCAATTTTTAGTTTTTTTGGGGAAACTTCAAACTGTTCTCTGTAGTGGTTCTACCAATTAACATTTCCAGCAACAGTATACAAGGGCTCCCCTTTCTTTACATCCTCATCAGCATTTGTTATTCCCTGTCTTTTGGATATAATCCATTTTAACTGGGGTGAGATTATATCTCAATGTAGTTTTGCTTTGCATTTCTCTGATGATCAGTGATGTTGAGCACCTTTTCGTATCCTGTTTGCCTTCTGTATGTTTTCTTTAGAGAAATGTCTATTCAAATCTTTTGCCCATCTTTAGATCAGATTATTACTTTTTTCTCTATAATGTTATTTGAGCTCCTTATATATTCTGGTTATTAATCCCTTGGCAAATGGGTAGTTTGCCAATATTTTTATTCCATTCTGTGCGTTGTCTTTTCAGTTTGTGGATTGTATCTTTTGCTGTTCAGAAGCTTTTTAACTTGATGTGATCCCATTTGTCCATTTTTGCTTTGGTTGCCTGTGATTATGGGGTATTGCTCAAGAAATTTTTGCCTAGACCAATGTTCTGGAGATTTTTCCTAACGTATTCTTATAGTAGTTTCATAATGTGAGGTCTTACATTTGAGTCTTTAATCTATTTTGATTTCACACTTTTGAAAGACAGGGATCCATTTTCATTCTTCTGCATATAAATATCCAGTTTTCCCAGCAACATTTATTGAAGAGAATGTGTTTTCCCCAGTTGATATTCTTGGACCTTTGTCAAAAATGAGTTTATTGTAGATGTGTGGATTTGTTTCTGGCTTCTCTATTCTGTTCCATTGGTCAATGTGTCTGTTTTTATGCCAGTACCATGCTGTTTTGATGACTGTAGCTCTGTAGTATAATTTGAAGTTAGGTAATGTGATTCCTCCAGTTTTGTTTTTTTGCTCAGGATTGCTTTGGCTACAGGATTGCTTTGGTCATTTGTGGTTCCATATAAATTTTAGGATTGTCTTTCCTATTTCTGTGACAAATATCATTGGTATTTTGAGAGGGATTGTACTGAATCTGTAGATTGCTTTGGGTAGTATGGACATTCTAACAATATTGATTCTTCCTATCTGTGAACATGGAATATCTTTCCATTTTTTGTGTCCTCTTCAATTTCTTTCATCAGTGATTTATAGTATCCATTCTACAGGTCATTCACTTCATTTGTTATGTTAATTCCTAGGTATTTAATTTAATGTGTGGCTATTAGAAATGTGATTACTTTTTATTTTTCTGAGATTGAGTCTCGCTCTGTCGCCAGGCTGGAGTGCAGTGGTGGAATCTCAGCTTACTGCAATGTTCGCCTCCTGGGTTCGAGTGATTCCCCCACCTCAGCCTCCTGAGGAGCTGGGAGTACAGGCATGCACCACCAAGCCTGGCTAATTTTTTTTTTTATTTTAATAGAGATGGGGTTTCACCATGTTGGCCAGGATGGTCCCAATCTCCTGACCTCATGATCCACCTGACTTGGCCTCCCAAAGTTCTGGGATTACAGGCTTGAGCCACTGTGCCCAGCCGTGATTACTTTTCTCTTTCAGATTGTTCACTGTTGGCATATAGAAATACTACTAATTCTTGTATGACGATTTTCTAGCTTAGAACTTTAATGAATTTGTTTATAAGTTCCAATAGTTTTCTCATGGAGTCTTTAGGTTTTTCCAAATATAAGATCATATCATCTGTAAACAAATAAAATTTGATTTCTTCCTTTCCAATTTGTATGCCCTTTATTTTTTCTCTTGTCTAATTGCTGTAGCTACGACTTCCAGTACTATGTTGAATAACTGGTGACAGTGGAAATTCTTACTGTGTTCCAGATCTTAGAGGAAAGGCTTTCAATTTTTCCCCATTCAGTATGATACTAGCTGTGTGTCTGTCATATATGGCTCTTATTATGTTGAGGTATATTTCTTGTATCCTCAGTTTTTTTAGGATTTGTATCATGACGGATGTTGAATTTTATCAAATGCTTTTCCAGCATGAATTGAAATGATCATATGGTTTTTATCCTTCATTCTGTTGATATCATGTATCACACTGATATATTTGCATATATTGAACCATCCTTGCATCCCAGGGATAAATTCCACTTCGTCATGATTGATGATCTTTCTAAAGCATTGTTGAATCAGATATGCTAGTATTCTGTTGAAGATTTTTGCATCAATATTCATCAGAGATATTTTTTTTAATTTTCTTGTATTCATTTGTCTTTGTCTGGTTTTGGTATCAGGATAATATTGACCTTGTAGAAGGAGATTGGAAGTATTTTTTCCTCCTCTATTTTTCAGAATAGTTTGAGTAGGTTTTTTGTTAGTTCTTCTTTAAATGTTTGGTAGAATTCAGCAGTGAAGTCCTCACATCCTGGCCTTTTCTTTACTGGGAGACTTTTTATTACAGCTTCTATCTTGTTACTTGTTATTGGTCTTTTCAGGTCTTAGATTTCTTATTCGTTTGATATTGGTACATTTTATGTATCTAGGAATTTGCCCATTTATTCTAGATTTTTCAATTTATTGGCATATAGTTGCTCATAGTAGCTTTTGGAAAGTGATCTATCTGTAAGTGTTCACATTTCACTTTATCATGAAACATGTTATATAAGCAAAGGAATATTTGCAATCAATCACATGAAGGAAATTAGAATGAATGCTGCATGCAACATTCTATAAAATGTTTTTATCCTTCCTATAGGGAATAGGTTAACAAAATTGACTTGAATAGATACATACATGGAAAACATCGTAATCAATATTCAATTGTATTGGAAGAAAGATAGGAGGAAGAAAATCCTGCAGGATCCAAGCAGTAATTTTAACCAAGGACTGGTTTACAGGGGACTGGTCTTTAAAGAAAAGTTATTATATCCAAATATAAAACTACATATTTAACTGTAAACAAAGTTGTTTTAAAATTTTGCCTTGAAGCGGAACAATATCTGGTTAAAACCCATCTTGAAAAATGACCAATTTGATAATATTAAAATCTATCCACACCTTTTTTGCCTCAACTATACATAGGCATGGAAAATGGGGAAATTCACTTTCAAATATATTTTTATCTCACAGAATACTTATTAACGTTCAGAGTATAAGCCATAGTTCAGTCTTTTGCAATTGAAAAAGGAAACACCCTTTCACTTTAAATTATGCCTATGTTAAAGGCACACTGCCCTCATTAACAGCATCCCATGCTTCTGAGTATTCTAATCATTAGAAAAGCTGTGTGTGATCACCTAGGATGAATTGTGCCCAACACAAATGAACCTGATGGTCTTTTCAAGCCTAGAAATATCTAAAGCTCTTCTCAGCAGACATTTGTGAGCAACTTAAGTATTTAATCATTTGAGAAATATGGGTTTTAAAATATTATCTTACATTGGATGTGTGCAGTAGTAAAATCCTGCTGTCTCCTTCTCAGGCCACTGCCACCTCACTTCCAACAAGCTCAGAGAACTTCTCTGGAGAAGCCTTATGTTCTCTGAAACCTTTACCTAAACAGCTTCCCAAGAGACTCATCAGGAAAGTTCAGCATGAAAATGGCCAAGAGCTCTCTAAAGTCCTCAGACCCTACCCTATCATTGGTGTAAGGGTCTGGGGTAAAGGCTTGAGAAATCCACAAGATTTTGCCAATCTGAATTCAACAAACTGTCTATATGGCTACACCTTCCAACAGAAACCCAGAAATGCCCCTTTCCCTTGGAAGGTAACTTACCTCTTGGAAAACAAGACTGACTATCTCCCACGCTACAAACAACTTTGATAATAACGACTATCATGACTATTTTTCAGCTCCTGTCATAAAGTTAGTAGATTTCAAAGACCTGCCCCCGTCAAAGAAATTTGATCCAGCCCTCTGTTTTCAAAATAAAAAAGTTATATTAGCTTTCTTTAATAGAGATATTGAGATCACTTAGCCAACACAAAGGACATGATAATTAAAATAAGAAGTCTTACTTACAGTGCCATTAATACATGATAGGTACTGTGCTTGAGGCACTCGATCCTGTGTATTTCAATTTTTCATGTAAGGAGACCAAGGCATAGGAGTAGCACATCCCAGCCTGGGCAACATGGCAAAACCCTGTCTCTACTAAAAATACAAAAAATTAGCTGGGCATGGTGGCTTGTGCCTGTAGTCCCAGCTGCTCTGGAGGCTGAGGTGGAAGAATCACTTGAGCCCAGGAAAGGTCAAGGCTGCAGTGAGCCAAAATCATGCCACTGTACTTCAGCCTGGGCAATTGCAATTAGAGTGAATAGAGTGAGACCCTGTCTCAAAAATAAACAAACAAACAAACAAAAAGCGAGTAGCACATTACTTCTCCATGGGCAGAAGGACTGAAAATTGGGAATTCATAATGTAAGTTCAGTCAGATGGACACCAAAGCTACCTCCATACCTCCATGTGTATTGTTTAATCTCCACAGCAACTACCTCCCCCTCCCCCATTGTTTAGAAGCATCACCTCTAATCTTCTAGTAAACCATCTCCTTCTTCACTGCAACTGAGGGATTTTAATAGAGACTGACAATCACAGTTGTCCACCTTCCAAGACACAAAGACAGATATGGACTCTATGCCAGGGTGTCAGAGTTATTCTCTGGGACTTGGGCTTTTTTTTAGCCCATCTCTGTTGGTGAATCTGTGAGGACAAGAACTGCCAGGGCCAAGATGAAGAGCATGTAAAAGAAACTAGCTTACAGAAGATAATAAAGACCATCACAACAACATGGATGGAGCTGGAGGCCGTTATCCTAAGCAAACTATCGCAGCAACAGAAAACTAAATACAGCATATTCTCACTTATGAGTGAGAGCTGAACACTGAATACACATGGACACAAAGAAGAAAACAACAGACACTGGGGCCTACCTGAGGGTGGAGGGTGGGAGGAAGAATAGGACTGAATTACTACCTATGAGGTACCATGCTTATTACCTGGGTAATAAGATAATCTGTCACCAAATCCCCATGACAGGCAATTTACCTATATAACAAATCTCCACATGTGCACCTGAACCTAAAATGAAAGTTAGAAAAAAAGATCACCACAGAGAAACAGAGCCTGGCAAAGAGCGTGCCACTGTTTCTGCTGTCTTTGAGGCCTGGCTGCACCACTGCCCACTTTTCACCTGGATACTGCGGTCAGTGATGTCCTCTTTGTGCCCATATGTTTTCAATATGGGTTTCTAGTATAGTCCCTAAGATCTTTAAGAAAAAAAAATAGATTTTTGTTGTTGTTTTATTTTGTTTTAGTTGGAGGATTAAGTACAGTATTCTAATACAGTGCTCAGCACAGAACAGAAAATCAAAATAAAAACACATAAAATAATAAAATGAAAAGAGGACCTCCAATACTGACCCTGGCTTTCTCTTTCTTTTAACAAGTATTCATGGTAGAGTGATATGCTAAATACACTACTAATCTGAGCAAAACAATTACTTCTAAGTGGAAATGGGAAACTTGACTTTACAAAGTCAAGTCCAACTTATATCCTGTGTTTTTCAGTGAATTTTCACACCAGATAAGGAAATTCACAAGATAGGTTTCAAAGACGCAGGAGAGGCAATTGGTATAAAGGTAATCTCTATAGGACACTAGTGTCAGGATATGGATATTTTATATTTTATGGTAAGAATCAAGTCACAGAGAGAAAAGAAATAGTTTTTATAAACTGAATAATTATAATAGCTAACATTTAAAAAATTATTCCAGAAGCTTGACACAATACATAATACAATTTTTATAACTCTCTCAATAAGGGTTACAAATACCACTTTCCCAATTTAGCAAATAAGAAAACTGAGAAAGTTTAACAATGTGGCCTGAAAGCACCTTTCTAGTAAATGGTAGAAACAGGATTTGCAACAAAGCAATCTAAATTCATGGCTCTTGGGCTTAATGGTTTCAAACACTTTAGTATTTGAAACTGATGGATTAGATAAAAGCCCCTCCCCCCAAAAAAGAAAATAAAAAGCAAGCAGTGATTTAGTTTAGTGAGTTAATATAAATTTGATTGCTTAACATTATAGGAAACCAAAAAGTCATTTGCAATGAAGCATTAAATAACTCAATATAACCATATATTTACAAGATAACATTTTCAGAAGTTCTTAGACTATGAGGGAGGAGAAGTGATTAACTTAAAGTTGATTTAATATGATAGGTTTCTGAGTCAAAGAGAAATGGAGAAATGGATTTCTACTAGTTTCTGTGTGGAATTACAGTTCTGCTTCCTAATGTGAACCTGGCTGCCCACTAGAAAAGCTTTGATTATAGGGTTTTAACAATCTCTAGATATGTTCAGTGGAGGAAACCCCAGTGCATGCCCAAGGGTAATTTGATTAATACAAACCCAATCAGATACACAGAGTTACAGCACATTAGTTCCCCACAGGATAACTTCCTGTTGGACCCCACAAAACTCAGCAAAACATTATAAGCTGGTTAGCTCCACTCCCTTACCAAAGTCTCATTCAACCTTCCCGTAGTTTAAATTGCTTGAGTAATTTTATCTTTTCCAAGATCAAGACTTAACTTCGCTGGGCTCTCTGATTATTGCAAATCATAGAAACAATTTCAAAAGCAGATTACATTGGTGAATTATCTTTAACTACCCATTTTTCTTATTATACCTTTTGCTCCTTCCTTTAGTTGTTGGTGATAGTTTCAGCACTTCCTACAAAATGGGAGAAAGACTGCAGGGAATTTGCCAGTTATTGTTGTTAGATATAATTTTATGTCCTAAGCATTCCATCTAAAGTTCTAGTACTTAGAAAATATTCAGTTTATTTCTCATGTGTTACAAGGCCAATAAAAAGCTAATAGATAATTGTGGGTCAGAATTTTAAAGGTCAGCATTATGTTTTTGCTTATAATTTATCACTTTCTTGATTATCACTCATAAGAACTTAACATGCATAATAAGCAAGTGGCCTTCAAATTATTCTACCTGCCTGCAGGATTTCTCCTTCCAATCATTTAAATTAAATTGCGTGAAGTGAAAATAATTATTAAAGGTAAAAAAAGTTACAACAGGTTTTCTAAGCACAATTTCTAATAAATCAGGCATATACAAGCAAGTAAATAGAAAAATATAAATATAAAATATATTTTATATAAAAAATATAAACATAAAAAAATCAACAATACAGCAAAATTTGAGTCGACCTTCAGATGTTATTATTCAGTATTGCTGAACAAAGTCAGGCCTCAATAATTTCAATTAAAAGTAAGAATATGCATTAGGGAAAATCAAGTTGGTCAATTGCTCACATTGCTTCCTGTTAGCACAGGTTACCGTTTCACTTCACTTAAAAAATAAAAGAAATACAAGTGGGCTTCATCCCTGGGATGCAAGGCTGGTTCAATATACGCAAATCAATAAATGTAATCCAGCATATAAACAGAGCCAAAGACAAAAACCACATGATTATCTCAATAGATGCAGAAAAAGCCTTTGACAAAATTCAACAACCCTTCATGCTAAAAACTCTCAATAAATTAGGTATTGATGGGACGTATTTCAAAATAATAAGAGCTATCTATGACAAACCCACAGCCAATATCATACTGAATGGGCAAAAACTGGAAGCATTCCCTTTGAAAACTGGCACAAGACAGGGATGCCTTCTCTCACCACTCCTATTCAACATAGTGTTGGAAGTTCTGGCCAGGGCAATTAGACAGGAGAAGGAAATAAAGGGTATTCACTTAGGAAAAGAGGAAGTCAAATTGTCCCTGTTTGCAGACGACATGATTGTATATCTAGAAAACCCCATCATCTCAGCCCAAAATCTCCTTAAGCTGATAAGCAACTTCAGCAAAGTCTCAGGATACAAAATCAATGTACAAAAATCACAAGCATTCTTATACACCAACGACAGACAAACAGAGAGCCAAATCATGAGTGAACTCCCATTCACAATTGCTTCAAAGAGAATAAAATACCTAGGAATCCAAGTTACAAGGGATGTGAAGCACCTCTTCAAGGAGAACTACAAACCACTGCTCAAGGAAATAAAAGAGGATACAAACAAATGGAAGAACATTCCATGCTCATGGGTAGGAAGAATCAATATCATGAAAATGGCCATACTGCCCAAGGTAATTTACGGATTCAATGCCATCCCCATCAAGCTACCAATGACTTTCTTCACAGAATTGGAAAAAACTACTTTAAAGTTCATATGGAACCAAAAAAGAGCCCGCATTGCCAAGTCAATCCTAAGCCAAAAGAACAAAGCTGGAGGAATCACACTACCTGACTTCAAACTATACTACAAGGCTACAGTAACCAAAACAGCATGGTACTGGTACCAAAACAGAGATATAGATCAATGGAACAGAACAGAGCCCTCAGAAATAATGCCACATACCTACAACTATCTGATCTTTGACAAACCTGAGAAAAACAAGCAATGGGGAAAGGATTCCCTATTTAATAAATGGTTCTGGGAAAACTGGCTAGCCATATGTAGGAAGCTGAAACTGGATCCCTTCCTTACACCTTATACAAAAATCAATTCAAGATGGATTAAAGATTTAAACGTTAGACCTAAAACCATAAAAACCCTAGAAGAAAACCTAGGCATTACCATTCAGGACATAGGCATGGGCAAGGACTTCATGTCCAAAACACCAAAAGCAATGGCAACAAAAGCCAAAATTGACAAATGGGATCTAATTAAACTAAAGAGCTTCTGCACAGCAAAAGAAACTACCATCAGAGTGAACAGGCAACCTACAAAATGGGAGAAAATTTTCGCAACCTACTCATCTGACAAAGGGCTAATATCCAGAATCTACAGTGAACTCAAACAAATTTACAAGAAAAAAACAAACAACCCCATCAAAAAGTGGGCGAAGGACATGAACAGACACTTCTCAAAAGAAGACATTTATGCAGCCAAAAAACACATGAAAAAATGCTCATCATCACTGGCCATCAGAGAAATGCAAATCAAAACCACTATGAGATACCATCTCACACCAGTTAGAATGGCAATCATTAAAAAGTCAGGAAACAACAGGTGCTGGAGAGGATGTGGAGAAATAGGAACACTTTTACACTGTTGGTGGGACTGTAAACTAGTTCAACCATTGTGGAAGTCAGTGTGGCGACTCCTCAGGGATCTAGAACTAGAATTACCATTTGACCCAGCCATCCCATTACTGGGTATATACCCAAAGGACTATAAATCATGCTGCTATAAAGACACATGCACACGTATGTTTATTGCGGCATTATTCACAATAGCAAAGACTTGGAACCAACCCAAATGTCCAACAATGATAGACTGGATTAAGAAAATGTGGCACATATACACCATGGAATACTATGCAGCCATAAAAAATGATGAGTTCATGTCCTTTGTAGGGACATGGATGAAATTGGAAATCATCATTCTCAGTAAACTATCGCAAGATCAAAAAACCAAACACCACATATTCTCACTCATAGGTGGGAACTGAACAATGAGATCACATTGACACAGGAAGGGGAATATCACACTCTGGGGACTGTGGTGGGGTGGGGGGAGGGGGGAGGGATAGCATTGGGAGATATACCTAATGCTAGATGACGAGTTAGTGGGTGCAGCGCACCAGCATGGCACATGTATACATATGTAACTAACCTGCACAATGTGCACATGTACCCTAAAACTTAAAGTATAATAAAAAAAATAAATAAATAAAAAATAAAAGAAATACAGGCTTTGTACTAGTTCTCGGAACTAGACCCCGGCTTTCTCTTTCTTTAACAAGTATTCATGGTAGAGTGATATGCTAAATACATTGAATGACATTTAATTTGCCCTCATAATCCCCTGTGAAATACTACAGAGTATCTATTATTAGTATTAATATTACTGGGTAGGACTGAGGCTAAGTAACTTGTTTCTAGGATACAGAGAGGCTGTCAAAGCCCTCAAGGTAGTGAAGTGTTCTGCTTCCTGAAATATTGACTTGTCAATATAAAAAATAAGATTATAACTATGAATATGTTTACATTACATCAAGATAACTGATTAATCAGGGGTAAAACTTGCACATTTATGGCATTGTATAGCAAAACAAAATGAACTGACAGATTTTTAAAAGTATTTTCATTTTGATTTTGGTGCTGTGAGAATCCAGCTGAAGGATGACAAAGACCAAGTTAGTAACTGAAATTAAGAGTGGCCAATTTTGAGAAACACTTATTGTGTTGACAATCCATGCATATTGTAATTTTTGACACACATATTAACGAAACCTGTTTCCTATTACTCATGTCTGTCCTTTTAATGACCATCACAGCCAAGCATTTTCTATGCCTGAGATAGAATAGAATATGAAGTGCCACTAATTTTTTAAGATGTAGTAATTGCAGAGCAGTGCATAGATAGTAATGAGGAGCTTCATTCAATGTCATGATGACAGCTTGGCTCTCTTTGATTTTACATGAATCTAGAGAGCACTTATGTAATATAGTGAAAAGAGACCTGGCTTGAGAGGTTTCTTTGTCATTGTTCTGCCATTACCTTATGAAAAAAATTGGAAAAATAATTTAGCCCCTTTCAGCCTCTTATACCTTACCATTTTCAGAAGAAGGGAGAGAGGGAGAGAGAAAAAGAAATTGGGAAGGAAGCTCAAAAAGAAAGGAAGAGAGAGAAGAGACAGAGGAAGAAAAAGTATAAAGAGAAGGGAAAGAAAGAATAAAATAATGAGAGTGAGAAAGAAAAGGATAAATAAAACAGGTGTGTTTGGCTGAATAATGCTCAAAGAAGATATTATGATTAAATCCCTTGAAACTGTTACCATATATGGCAAAATAGGCCTTGCAGATATAATTAAATTTAGAACCTTGAGATTGGGAGAATATCCTCGTTTATCCAAGTAGCCCCTAGATGAAATCACAAATGTACTCATAAGAGAGAAGTTGAGGGAAATTTTACAAGCAGAAGACTAGACAATGTGACCCCAGAGTCAGAGATTAGATAAACAAGACCAAGGAATTCTGACGGCCACAAGAAGCTAAAAGAAACAAAAACCAGTTTCTCCTCTACAGCCTTTGGAGAGGTCATGGCCCTGTAAGCACCTTGATTTGGGACCAGGAATACTGATTTTGGGCTTTTGCCCTCCAGAACTGTGAGTGAACAAATATCTATTGTATTAAACCATAAAGTCTGTGGTAACTTGTTACAACAGCCATAGGAAGCTAACACAATAAGGGATAAAACTGTATAAATCTTACTACTATCATATGCACATATGCATTCGTTTACTAAGGGTGTCAAAATACCACAGATTAGGTAGCTTAAACAACAGAAATTTATTTCTTGCCAATCTAGAATCCAGAAACCCAAGATCAAATTGTTGGCAGGCTTAGTTTCTTCTGAGACCACGCTTCTTGGCTTGCAGAGGGGCAGAGGGTGATCTGTGTGTCCTTACATGGTTTTCTCTGTGTCCATGTGCCTCTCTGGATGTCTACAATTTTTTTTTTTTTTTTTTTTTTGAGACAGGGTCTCGCTCTGTCACCCAGGCTGGAGTGCAGTGGCTCGATCTCGGCTCACTGCAGGCTCCGCCTCCCAGGTTCACACCATTCTTCTGCCTCAGCCTCCCAAGTAGCTGGGACTACAGGCACCCACCACCATGCCTGGCTAATTTTTTTGTATTTTTAGTAGAGACGGGGTTTCACCGTGTTAGCCAGGAGGGTCTCAATCTCCTAACCTCCTGATCCACCCGTCTTGACCTCCCAAAGTGCTGGGATTACAGGCTTGAGCCACCATGCCTGGCCTACAATTCTTTTTCTTCTAAGGACACCAGCCAAATTAGATTGGTGCCCCTAATGGCCTCATTTTAACTTAATCACCTCTGTATGGCCCCATATCCAATTACAGTCACATTCTGAACTACTGGAGGTTAAAACCCCAATGTAGAAATTTTGGGGGAACACAATTTAGCCCATAGCAGCACATAAAAGTCATATCCCATCTTCTACCTCACTCAATATTTCCACTGAAACAGAAACAACATATGTTCAGTTTCTCCATTTGTTAAGCAACCATTGATTAACCATTTGCTGTATGCCAAGTGGCATGTTTTGTGTTGGTAATAACATGTGATACCATACTTCCACTCAAAGTTTTCAGAGTGTAGTTAGAGTAACAGGTAAAACAATCATTAAAATAGAATGATGTTGTTACAGGTAGTTAGGCATGAGGGAAGCAGGAGAGGGCTCTCCCCTCACCCACTACAAATGTCTGGTGATGTTTCAGCAATTATCACACTGCCTCTAAAAAATGATAATTCAGCAGTGCCAGGGAGAGGCTACTTCCTGATAGTCCACACCTGTTAACATCAAAATGTTAATTGAATGCAGGCCTCAGGAAGAAGCAACTTCTTGGGCATGCATGTTAAGAGACAAAAACAGCAAAGTGGATGCCATCAGTTACATGCCACTGGAAAAAGGAAGGCTCGGGCGGGCAGGCATATAACTCCCTAAACACACGGCTCATGCTCACTTCCAAAGGGTAAGGAAAGCTGTGGGCATGCAGAAAGCCGAACCTAAGGGAAGACTCATGTTGGAAAAAGGTGAGTCTATAAAGTCCCAGTATCAAGGTTAAAGGCTCCTTCTTTTTTGCTGTCTTCTTTTGCTCTCTTTTTTCTCTTGGACCTACATAACACCCACTTGGGTCTCTTTCAAGCGAATTTTCTTATCTTTTCTGTTCTAAAGCCTTTTTAAATAAACTTCCACTCCTGCTCTGCAACTTGCCTTGGTCTCTTTTTCTGCTTTATGCCCCTCAGTCAACTTATTTCTTCTGAGGAGGCAAGGACTGAAGTTACTACAGACCCATACAGATACTTCCACTCATAACAATGTGTTCTGGGTACACATCTGGCTTAGAAGAAAGAGGAATCAACTGTGTCTGAAGATTGGAGGCAGTAGAAAATAAATATAATAGAAAAGAGGATTATTGAACTGGGTCAGGAGGGGAATTAAGGTTTCACTCATGCAGGAGCTGGGGAATGGTAATCCGCTGAGAAATAACATGTGCAAAATATGGAGATGAAAATATATAGAAATTTAGATAGCTCAGTAGCAGCTAGATCCTAGGATGACAAAGGAAGCAAGTAGTAAGAGCTGAAGTGAGAGACTCCTCATAAATATACAATTCTGCCAGCTAGAAATTCCAGTCCTTTGCAGGAAATGATGGATAACTAAAAAGTTTTAACAAGAAAGTGATAAGATTAGATTTTTATTTTAGCAAACTAGTTTGGAGGATTCAGTAGTCTGAAAAAGAATTGAGGTTAAATAAGGTGAATGCAGTAAAGAGGTAAAGAAGTAATTACATAGAACAAGGGAGAAATAATTAGGGCCAGCATTAGGAAAAGTTCAGCAGGATTGAGGATATGAAGATATAAAGGAAGAGAATTGACTCCATTTAAAAACACCCAACATAAAATAGGGAGAATGAGGCAAACAGAATGAATTTGAGCTTCCTTGTATGATGATGACCTTGATGAGAATAAGGAATATTGCCAGAACAGTAGATTTTTATTTTTAAAAAAATTTTTAACTTTTATGGATACTTGGTAAGTGTATATATTTATGGAATATGTGAAATATTTTGATACAGGCAAGCAATATGTAATACGCACATCAGGGTAATTGGGGTATCCATCAACTTAGGCTGTTGGGAACAAGTCCCCCAAAATCTGGCCATAAACTGGCCCCAATACTGGCCATAAACAAAATCTCTGCAGCACTGTGACATGTTCATGATGGCCATGATGCCCACTCTGGAAGGTTGTGGGTTTACCAGAATGAGGTCAAGGAACACCTGGCCTGCCCAGGGCAGAAAACTGCTTAAAGGGGTTCTTAAATCACAAACAATAGCATGAGGAATCTGTGCCTTAAGGACATGCTCCTGCTGCAGATAACTAGCCCAACCTATTCCTTTAATTCGGCCCATCCCTTTGTTTCCCATAAGGGATACTTTTAGTTCATTTAATATCTGTAGAAACAATGCTAATTACTGGCTTGCTGTTAATAAATATGTGAGTAAATCTCTGTTCAGGGCTCTCAGCTCTGAAGGCTGTGAGACCCCTGATTTCCCACTCCACACCTCTATATTTCTGTGTGTGTGTCTTTAATTCCTCTAGTGCCGCTGGGTTAGGGTCTCTGCGACTGAGCTGGTCTTGGCATCAGGCATTTATCATTTCTTTGTGTTACAAACATTCTAATCATATTCTTTTTGTTATTTAAAAATGTACAATAAATTACTGTTGACTGTAGTCACACTCTTGAGTATCAAATATTAGATGGTATTTATTCTATCTAACTACATTTTTGTACCCATTAACCATTCCCGTTTCCCTCACTTCCTCCTTATAACACTTCCTAGCCTCTGGTAATCATCCTTCTACTCTCTATCTGTATGCGTACAATTTTTTTTTAATTTTAACTCCCACAAATGAGTGAGAACATGTGAAGTATGTCTTTCTGTGCCTGGTTTATTTTACTTAACATTGTGTCCTCCAGTTCCATCCATGTTGTTGCAACTGACAGGATCTCATTTTACTTATTAAGGCTGAATGGTACTGCATTGTCTATGTGTACCACATTTTATTTCTACATTTATCTGCTTATGGGCACTTAGGTTGATTCTAAATCTTTGCTATTGTGATTAGTGTTACAATAAACAAGGGAGTGTAGATATATCTTTGATATACTGGTTTCCTAACTTTGAGGCATATACCTAGCCAAAGGATTGCTGGATCTTATGGTAGTTATATTTTTAGTTTTCTGAGGTACCTCCAAACTGTTCTCCCTAGTGGTTGTACTACAGTGTGTGAGGGTTCTCTTTTCCCCATGTCTTTTCAGCAGTTGTTACTATCTTTTATTGAAAACGATTTTAACTGAGGTGAGGTAATATCACATTGTAGACTTAATTTGTATTTCTCTGTTGATAAATAATGTTGATCACCTTTTCATAAATCTCTTTGCCCCTAGGCAATACCATTCAGGACAAAGGCATTGGCAAAACTTTTATGATGAAATCGCCAAAAGCAATTGCAATGAAACCAAAAATTGACAAATGGGATCTAATTAAACTAAAGAGTTTCCACAAACAAAACTATCATCAGAACGAACAGATAACCTATAGAATGGGAGAAAATTTTTGCAATCTATCCATCTGACAAAGGTCTAATATCCAGAATCTACAATGAAATTAAACAAATAACAAGAAAAAAGACCCAATTAAAAAGCGAGCAAATAATATGAACAGACACTTCTAAAAAGAAGACATACATGCAGCCAACAAACATGAAAAAAAGCCCAACATCACTGATCATTAGAGAAATGTAAATCAAAAGCACAATGAGATACCATCTCACTCCAGTCAGAATGGCCATTATTAAGAAGTTGAAAAAAACAGATGCTGACGAGGTTGCAGAGAAATAGGAACACTTTTACACCATTGGTGGGATTGTAAATTAGTTCAACTATTGCGGAAGACAGTGCAGTGATTCCACAAAGATTAAGAACTGGAAATACCATTTGACCCAGCAATTCCATTCCTGGGTATGTACCCAAAGGAATATAAATAATTCTATTATAAAGATACACGCATGTGTATGTTCATTGCAGCACTATTCACAATAACAGAGACGTGAAATCAACCCAAATGCCCATCAGTGATAGATTGGATAAAGAGAATGTGGTATATATACACCATGTAGTACTATGCAGCCATAAAAAGGAATGAGATCATGTCCTTTGCAGGGACATAAATGAAGCTAGAAGCCGTTATCCTCAGCAAACTAACGCAGGAACAGCAAACCAAACACTGCCATGTCCTCACTTAATAGTGGGATCTTATAAAGATACATGCACGTGTATGTTCATTGCAGCACTATTCACAATAACAAAGACATGAAATCAACCCAAATGCCCATCAGTGATAGATTGGATAAAGAGAATGTGGTATATATACACCATGTAGTACTATGCAGCCATAAAAAGGAATGAGATCACATCCTTTGCAGGGACATAAATGAAGCTAGAAGCCATTATCCTCAGCAAACTAACACAGGAACAGCAAACCAAACACTGCCATGTTCTCACTTAATAGTGGGAGCTGAACAATGAGAACACATAGACACAGGGAGGGAAACAATACTTACTGGGGCCTGTCATGGGAGGGCAGGGATGTAGAACATTAGGGAAAAGAGTTAATGCTTGCTGGGCTTAATACCTAGGTGATGGGTTGTTAGGTGCAGCAAACCACCATGGCACATGTTTACCTATGTAACAAACCTGCACCTGTACTCCAGAACTTAAAACAACAACAACAATAAAATAATTAAAAAAAAAAACAATTTTAACTGAGATGAGATAATATCACATTGTAGACTTAATTTGTATTTGTCTGATGGTCAATAATGTTAAATACCTTTTCATAAACCTCTTTGCCATGTGTATGTATTCCTTTGAGAAATGTCTATTCAGATGTTTTACCCTCTTATTAATTAGATTATTAGATTTTTTTCTATAGAGTTGTATGAGCTCCCTATATGTTCTGGTTATTAGTCCCTTGTCAAATGGCAAGTTTGCAAATAATTTTTCCTACTCTGTGTCTCTTCACTTTATTGATTTTTCCTTTGCTATGCAGAAGCTTTTTAACATAAGGTGGTCCTATTTGTTCATTTTTGTTTTAGTTGCCCATGCTTTGGGGTGTTACTCAATAAATCTTTGCCCAGACCAATGTCTTAGAGAATTTTCCTAATGAATTCTTCTTAGTAGTTTCATAGTTTGAGGTCTTAGATTTAAATTTTCAATCCATTTGATTTGATTTGTGCATATGGCAACAGATAGGGGTATAGTTTCATTCTTCTGCATGTGGATTTCCAGTTTTCCTACCACAATTTATTAAAGAGACTATCCTTTCTCCAATTTATGTTCTTGATACCTTCATCAAAAATGAGATCACCGGAGATGTATTGATTTATTTCTGGGTTCTCTATTCTGTTTCATTGATCTGCGTGCCTCTACCATTCTGTTTTGGTTACTATAGCTCTGAGGTATCATATGAAGTCAGATAACATGATTCCTGCAGTTTTGTTCTTTTTGCTCTAGATAGCTATGGCTACTGTGGGTATTTTGTAATAATACAAAGTTTTGTAATAAATGTTAAGATTATTTTTTTCTATTTCTGTGAAGATGTCGTTGGTATTTTGATATGGATTACTTGGAATCTATAGATTGCTTTGGGTAACATGAATGTTTTAACAATATTGATTCTTTCAATTGATGAACATGGAATATTATATTAGTTCATTCTCACATTGCTATGAAGACATACATGAGACCGGGTAATTTATTTAAAAAAAAGAGGTTTAATTGGTTCACAGTTATGAATGCTGTACAGGAAGCACGATGCTGGCAGTTTCTTGGCCTCTCGGTTGCCTCAGGAAGCTTACAATCATGGTGGAAGGTGAAGGGGGAGCATGCACATCACATAGTTGGAGTAGGAGCAAGATGGTGGGGGAGGTGCTACACACTTTTAAACAAACAAATCTCCTGAGAACTCACTGACTATTATGAGAACACACCAAGGCAATGATACTAAAACATTCCTAAAAAATCCTCCTCCATGATTCAATGACCTCCCATTATTTTCCAACTCCAACATTGGGGATTACAATTCAGTGTGAGATTTGGGTGGGGGCACAGATCCAAACCATATCATTTCACCCAGGCCCCTCCCAAATCTCTTGTCTTTCTCACATTTCAAAATGCAATCATCCCTTTCCAATAATCCCCAAAGTCTTAACTCATTTCAGCATTAACTCAAAAGTCCAAAGTCTTATCTGAGACGATGTAAGCCTCTTCCCCCTATTGGCCTGCAAAATCAAAACCAAGTAGTTACTTCAAAGATAAATGGAAATGCAAACATTGGGTAAATATTCCCTTTCCAAAAAGGAGAAATTGGCTAAAAGAAAGGGGCTACAGGCCCCCATACAAGTCTGAAACCCAACAGGGCAGTCATTAAATCTTAAAGCTTCAAAACAATCTCCACTGACTCCAAGTCCCACATCTAGGGAATACTGGTGTGAAGTTTGTGTTCCCAAGGTCTTGGGAAGCTCTGCCACAATGGCTTTGCAAAGTTCACCCCCTCGGCTACTCTCACAGGCTGGCATTGAGTGCTTGCAGCTTTTCCAGGAATACAATGCAGCTATCAGTAGATATACCATTCTGGGGTCTGGAGGATAGTGGCCATCTTCTCACAGCTCTACTAGGCAGTGCCCTAGTGAGGACACTGTGGTGTGGACACAGCCAAACCATATCATTCTGCCTCTGGCCCCTCCCAAATCCCATGTCCTCACATTTCAAAACCCATTCATGCCCTTTCAACAGTCCCCCAAAATCTTAACTCATTCCAGCATTAACTCAAAAGTCCAAGTCCAAAGTGTCATCTGAGACAAGACAAGTCCCTTCTGCCTATGAGCCTATAAAATCAAAAGCAAGTTAGATACATGCTAGATATAATGGGAGTGCAGGCATTGGATAAGTACACCCATTCCAGATGGGAAAAACTGGCCAAAACAAAGGGCTACAAGCCCCATGCAAGTCCAAAATCCAATAGGGTAGTCATTAAGCCTTAAATTTCCAAAATGATCTGCTTTGATTTCACGTCTCACATCCAGGTCACACTGATGCAAGAGGTGGTCTCCCATGGCCTTGGGCAGCTCTGCCCCTGTGGCTTTGCAAGGTACAGCCCCACTTCAGGCTGCTTTCATGGGCTGGTGTTGAGTGTCTGTGGCTTTTACAGGTGCATGGTGCAAGGTATCAGTGGATCTACTATTCTGGGGTCTGGAGAATGATGACCATCTTCTCACATCTCTACTAGGCAGTGCCCCAGTGGGGACACTGTATGGGAGGCTCTGACCCCACATTTCTCCTCCATACTGCCCTAACAGAGGTTCTCCATGAGGGCTCTGCTGTTGTAGAAAACTTACACCTGGACACCCAGGAATTTCCATACATTCTCTAAAATCTAAGTGAAGGTTCCCCAACTTTAATTCTTGTCTTTTGTGCATCTGCAGAACCAACACCACATGGAAGCTGCCAAGGCTTGGGGCTTGCACCCTCTGAAGCACTGGCCTGAGTTGTTCTTTGACCCCTTTTAGCCATGGCTGGAGTAGCTGAGACACAGTCCTGAGGCTGCACACAGCAGGGCTCCCTGGACCTGGCCCAGGAAACCATTTTTTCCTCCTAGGCCTCTAGGCCTGTGATAGGAGAGTCTTCTGTGAAGGTCTCTCACATGCCCTGGAGACATTTTTCTCATTGTCTTGGTGATTAACATTCAGCTCCTTGTTACTTATGCCAATTTTTGCATTTGGCTTGAATTTCTTCCCAGAAAATGGGTTTTTCTTTTCTACCACATTGTCAGGCTGCAAATTTTCCAAATGTTTATGCTCTGCTTTCTCTTGAATGCTTTTCTGCTTATAAATTTTTTCTACCAGATACCCTATATCATCTCTCTCAAGTTCAAAGTTCCACAGATCTCTAGGGCAGGGGCAAAATGCTGCCAGTTTCTTTGCAAAAACATAGCAAGAATTGCCTTCACTCCAGTTCGCAACAAGTTCCTTGTCTCCCTCTGAGACTACCTCAACCTGGACTTCATTGTCTATATCACTAACAGCATTTTGGTCACAGCTATTCAACAAGGAAGTTCCAAACTTTCCCACATTTTTCTGTCTTCTTCTGAGCCCTTCAAACTATTCCAACCTCTGCCTGTTACCCAGTTACAAAGTTGCTTCCATATTTTTGGGTATCTTTACAACAATGCTCCACTACCCAGTACCAATGTACTGTATTAGTCCATTCTTATGCTGCTATGAAGAAATACCTGAGACTAGGTAATTTATAAAGGAAAAAGGTTTAATTGACTCATAGTTCTGCAGGGGTGGGAGGCCTCAAGAAAATTATCGTCAAGGCATAAGGGGAAGCAAGCACATTCTTCACTTGGTGGCAAAAATGAGAAGAATGAGGCCAGGCATGGTGGCTCACACCTGTAATCCCAGCACTTTGGGAGGCCAAGGTGGGCGGATCACAAGGTCAGGAGATTGAGACCATCCTGGCTAACACTGTGAAATCCCGTCTCTACTAAAAATACAAAAAATTAGCCAGGCATGGTGGCCAGCGCCTGTAATCCCAGCTACTCAGGAGGCTGAGGTAGGAGAATGGCATGAACCCGGGAGGCGAAGCTTGCAGTGAGCCGAGATTGTACCACTGTGCTCCAGCCTGGGCAACAGACCAAGGCTCTGTCTCAAAAAAAAAAAAAAAATGAGAAGAACGAGAGTGAAGGTGGAGAAAGCCCCTTATAAAACCATCAGATCTTGAGAGAACTCACTATTATGAGAACAGCATGAGGGTAGCTGCCTGCGTGATTCAATTACCTTCCACTGGGTTCCTCCCATGACATGTGGGGATTATGGGAACTACAATTCAAGATGCAATTTGTTTGAGGACACAGCCAAACCACTTCAAATATCGTGCTGTCTTGGTTACTGTAGCCTTGTTGCATAGTTTGAAATTGGGTAGCATAATACTTCTGGCTTTGTTCTTCTTGCTTATAATTGCTTTGTCTGTTCAGGTTCCTTTTTGGTTCATTATAAATGTTAGAATAATTTTTTTTTCCTAATTCTGTGGAAAATGATACTGGTAGTTTGATACAAATAGGATTCAATCTGTAAATTGCATTGGGCAGTATGGTCATTTTAACAATACTGATTCTTCCTGTCAGTGAGCATGGGATTACTTTTTGTTTATTTTTGTTTTCTCTGATTTCTTTCAGCACCGTTTTGTAATTTTTGCTGTAGATATCCTTCACATCCCTGGCTAGCTGTATTCCTAGACATTTTTTTTTTTTTTGGTGTGTGGCTATTGTGAATGGAATTGCATTTTTGAATTGGCTCTCTGCTTGGACATTATTGGTGTATTAAAATGCTACTGATTTTTGCCCAACTGATTATGTATCCTGAAACTTCACTGAAATCATTTATATGTTTGAAGGGCCTTTGAGCAGAGGCTATGGGGTTGTCTAGGTATAGAATCTTATCACCTGTAAAGGGAAATAGTTTGACTTCCTCTCTTCCCATTTGTATCTCTTTTATTTGTTTCTCTTTCCCGATTGCTCTGACTGACACTTCCAGTACTATGTTGAAGAAGAGTGATAAAAGTGGGCCTCCTTGTCTTGTCCTGGTTGTCACCAGAAATGTTTTCACCTTTTGGCTCGTCAGCATGGTGTTGGCTGTGGGTTTGTCATAGATATATCTAGTATTTTGAGGTATTTTCCTTCAACTTCTAGTTTGGTGAGGGTTTTTAACATGAAGGAGTATTTGATTTTATCAAAAGCCTTTTGTACATCTATTGAGTTGATCATGTAGTTTTGTTTCTAGTTTTGTTTATGTGATATATCACATTTATTGATTTACCTACGATGAACCACACTTGCATCCTAGGAATAAAGCACACTTGATCATGGTGCATTGGCTTTATGATGTGTTGCTGGATTCAAATTGCCAGTATTTTGTTAAGGAATTTTGTGTTTATGTTTATCAGGGATATTTGATGTTTTCTTTTATGTGTGTCTCTGCCAGGTTTTGGTGTAAGAACAATGCTGGCCCTATACAATAAGGTAGGGAAGAGTCCCCCCTCCCAGAGTTTTTGGAATATTTTTGCTAGGATTACTACCAGATTTCTGTTTCAATGATCTGTCTAACACTGTTAGTGGGGTTGTGAGGTTTTCCACTATTATTGTGTAATAATTTGTGTCTCTTCATTTGTCTCCAAGAATGTTTTATGAAGCTGGGTGCTCCACTGTTGAGTGTATATATTTTTAAGATAGTTATGTCTTCTTGTTGAATTGAAACCTTTATCATTATATAATTCCTTTGCTTCTCTTTTTGATGATTATTGGTTTAAAGTCTGTTTTGTCTGCAATAAAAATAGCAACCTCTCCTTTTTTTGTGTATTTGCTGTTTGCTTCAAAGGGCTTTCTTCATCCCTTTACTTTGAGACTACGGGTGTGGTTGCACATGAGATGGGTCTCTTGAAGACAGTATATAGTTGTGTTTTGCATATTTTTTCAACTTTCCACTATGTGTCTCTTACATGGGGCATTTAGCCCATTTACATTCAAGGTTAATATTGATATGTGAGGATCTGATCCTGTCATCATGTTGTTAGTTGGTTGTTATATAGGCTTGTAGTATAGTTGCTTTAAATTTTTTTTTGTTTGTTTGTGGTGGTGGATACAGGTCTTTAATTTCCATGTTTAGCACTCCCTTAAGGACCTGTTGTAAGGCTGTCTGCTGGTAACAAATTCCCTTATCATTATCTTGTCTAAAAAGGATTTTGTTTCTTGTTGCTTATGGAGCTTAGTTTGGCTGGATATTAAATTATTGAATACAATGTTTTTCATTTAAGTGTGCAGAATATAGGCCTCCAATCTCTCCTGGCTTGTTAGGTTTCTTCTGAAAGGCCCGCTACTAGCCTGATGGAAATTTTTTTGTACGTAATCTGCCCCTTCTCTAGTTTCCTTCATAATTTCTTCTTTTGCATTAACTTTGGGTAATCTAATGACTATGTGTCTTTTGGATGGTCGTCTTGTATTGTATCTCACAGGGGTTCTTTGAATTTTCTTAATTTGCATACTGACCTCTCTAGGAAGCTTGGGAAAATTTTCATGGACAATAATTTTATATATGTTTTCCAAGTTGCTTGCTTGCTCTCTCTTTGTCTCTTTCAGGAATGCCAGAGTCATAGGTTTGGTCTCTTGCTGCTTTTAGAATTATTTCCTTATCCTTGATCTTTGGCAATTTGATTATTAAGTGCCTTAAGGTCGTCTTCTTTGGGTTAAATCAGCTTGGTGTTTTGTAACCTTATTGTACTTGAATATCGATATCTTTCTCTAGGTTTGGGAAATTCTCTATTATCATTTTGAATAAACATTCTACTCTATTTTCCTCTCTACCTGCTCTTTAAGGCCAATAACTCTTAGATTTGCCCTTTTGAGGCTATTTTCTAGACCTCATAGGGGTGCTTCTTTTTTTTTTTTTCTTTTCTTCTTCTGTCTCCACTGACTGTATTTTCAAATAGCCTGTCTTAAAGCTTACTAATTCTTTCTTCTGCTTGGTCAATTCTACTATTAAGAGATTCTGATGTATTCTTCAATATACCAATTGCAGTTTTCAGCTCCTGAATTTCTACTTGATTTCTTTTAATTATTTTAATCTTTGTTACATTTATCTGATAGAATCCTGAATTCCTTTTCTGTGTTGTCTTGAGTTTCTTTGAGTTTCCTCAAAACAACTATTTTGAATTCTCTATCTGAAATGTTACATATCTCTGTTTCTCTAGGATTGCCTCCTGGTGCCTTATTAAGTTTGTTTGTTGAGGTCATAATTTCTTGGATAATCTTGGTGCTTGTAGATGTTTGTCAGTGTCTGGGTATAGAAGAGTTAGGAATTTATTTTAATCTTTGCAGTCTTGGCTTGTTTTTACCTATCCTTCTTGGAAAGCCTTTCCATGTATTTAAACGGACTTAGGTGTTGTGATCTAAGTGTTCGGTCATTGCAGCTGTACCTGCATTCAGGGGGACCCCTAGCCCAGTAACACTGTGACTCTTTCAGATGCATAGAGGTACCGCCTTGTTAATCTTGGATAAGATATGGAATAATTATCTGGATTTCCTAGCAGAAACTCTTCTTCTCTTCCCTAACTTTCTCGCAAATGGAGTCTCTCTCTCTGTGCCGAGATACTTGCAGCTGGGGAAGCAGTGAAAAAGAACTCCTATGGCCATGACCACTAGGACTGCACTGGGTCAGACCTGAAGCCAGCAAAGCGCCACATCTCACCCAAGCTCTGCTGTAACCACCATCTTGCTACTGCCTATGTTCACTGAAAGCCCCAACACTCTGCAATTTGCGGGTGATTAAGCCAGCCAGGCTTGTGCCCTTCCCTTTAGTTTGGCAAGTTCCCTCGGGCCACAGGTGTTCCAGAGATGCTGTCCTGGAGCCAGGGCCTGGTACTGCTAACCTTAGAAATCTATCTGGTTCTCTTTTTCATTGCTGCCAAGCTGGCACTCAAACCACAGCTCAAAGTCTTTCACCCTTTCCTTTTCACAGGCAGAGGAGTCTCTCCTCAGTGCCACTACTAGCATAGGCTCACAGGGTGTACTGGTGGGCTACTGCTGATGTTCACTTAAGGTCCAAGGTTCTTCAGTCAGCTTGTGGTGAATGGTCATCCTTCAGGGCAGTGGGCTCCCTTCTGGCCCAGGCAGGTCCAGAAATGCTGTCCAAGGACCACATCCTGGAATCAGGTAATCTTCTCTCTGCTTTTCTCAAGCAGAAGGAGACTTTTCTTGTAGCTATCACAACTAGGAATGTGGTGGATCACACCTGAAGCCAGCACAGCTCTGAGTCTCCTCAGAGGCCCACAGGGAGTACTGCCTTGGTACTGCTGCTAATTATTTAGGGCCCAAGGGCCCTTTAGAGGGCAGGCGATGAATCCTTTCATAACTGAGTCCTTGCCTTCAAGGCAGCAGTTTTCCTTCTGGCCCAGCATCTGTCTGTAAATGTCACGCAGGAGCTAAGACCTGGAATGGGTGCCTCACACTTCTGCCCATTCCTACTGTAGCTGAGCTGCTATCCAAGTTGAAAGACAAAATCCTCTTTACTCTCCCTTATCCTTTTCTCAAGCAGAGGGAAGGAGTCTCTTTTACAGCTGCAAGCTGTGTTGCATGGGGTTAAGGCGGGGGTGGCACAAACACTCCCTTAGCTGCCCTGGCTGGTGTCTCACTAGGTCGCATGCCCCCCGGGTTCACTGGCCCCAAGCCCAGCACAGCCCCGGGTCTATCTAGTAGTTGTGGCCCTTATGGCATAGACTGCTTTTCTAGTTTATTTAGGTTCACAGAGTGCTTTATCCTGCAGTGGCAATGCTTCCTGAAACTCAAGTTCTGACCATTAGGATGGGTAATTTCCCTACAATCACTGTGCTCTCCGTTCCTCAAGTGCATGGGTTCTCTCTCCATGCCATGAGGCTGTTGCCAGAAGATGGAGGAGGGCTGGTGATAGTAATTCAAGACTGTCTTTCCTACCTTCTTCACAGCATCTTTCAGCAATATAAAGTTAAAACCAGGTACAGTTATTGCACACATAATTTTTGTTTTTTTATGAAGGGTTTTTTTTGTGTGTAGGTAGTTGTTAAATTTGGTGTTCCTGCAGGGAGGACGATCAGTGAAAGCTTCTATTCAGCCACCTTGCTCCGCCTCCACCAAAAGCTTAACATTTTATTGGAATATCCTGTGTATATTTGGTTTAGGGCATGTGTATAAAGTGGCATTGTGTAAAAGTAGAAGGAGGTCCTGTCATCCATGATTACTAAAATAACAGCATTGTGAAATAAAGTTTGGGGGCTTGATCAATCTTCAGGGGACCACATAACAGAAAAACAGGAAGTTGATCATGTAATCCATCCATTCTAAAAGTTTGCAAACATTAGAGGTTTGTTTAAATGCAGATTGCAAGTTTTCATCTTAGCCAACTAGCAAAGCAAAGCAAAGTGAACCAGAGGTAACAAAAATTAGAGAAGAAATCAATAGAGAAAAGATGAATAATAACTAAAGTGAATTATTTGAAAACATGAAAATAAAAATAAAACTTGACCTATATTAATCAAGAGTAAAAGAGGTGGCCATGTGTGGTGACTCACGCCTGTAATCTCAGCTCTTTGGGAGGCCAAGGAGGGAGGATCGCTTGAGCTCAGGAGTTCAAAACCAGCCTGCACAACATAGACTTTATCTCTACAGAAAATAAATAAATAAATGAATAATGTAAAACATAAATAAACAATATCAGAAATCTTAAAAAGGGGACAAATACTGATTCCTCTAACATTAAAGTAATAGTAAGGAAATGCTATTTAACTGTATGCCTTTATATAGACCAAAATCATGAAAAACGCAAAGTATCAAAAATCACTCAAAATAAATAGGTAACTTGAATAGCCCTAAATCTATTTTTTTTAATTGTAGTTAAAACCTTTCCAAGAAAGGAAACTGAAGTCTCAAATGGTTTTACTGTAATATTATTACCAACAGTTTAAAAAATAAACTATACCATTTCTATACAATCTATTTCAGAAAATAAGAGGGAAGATAATACTTCGCAATTCATTTTACAAGGCCAGTAGTATCCTGAGACCAAAAGCATAAAAATACATTAAAAGCACCAACTACCTACCAATATCTCTAACATAGATGCAAGAATCAGAATAAAATATCTGCAAATTAAATCCAGTAACATATGAAATGATAATACCATGTGGGGTTCATCACAGATATTCAAGAACATTTTAACATACAAAAATTAATTAATTTATTTCAGCATATTAGCCCATTAAATATAAAACCCGTATAATCATATCAACAGATGCAGAAAATTATTTGACAATATGCCATATCCATTCATGGTAAAAATCCTCAAGAACGAGTTATATAAGGGAGCTTCCTTAACCTAATAGGAGATACAAAATTATAAAATGAAGTAAAACCTAGAGCTAACAATACCCCAGAGAGTAGACTGAATGCTTTCACACTAAGATCAGATATAAGGCAAAACTTTCTTTTCTGACCCTCGCTATTCAACATTTTATTGGAAGTACTACCTAGAATAATAGGGCAAGAAAAATAAAATAAATGAGATCTAGATTGGAAAGAAAGAAATAAAACTGTCCTTATTTTCAGATAATGTGAATGTCAAAATCCCAAAGAGTCTACAGCAAAACTCTAAGAACTGACAAGTGACTTTGGCAAGGTCACTTGATGCAAGGTCACTATAAATCATGTAAGGTTAATATAAAATAAATTGTATTTGTATAACCCAGCAAATAACACTGAAATTTAAATTAAATCTAATTATACCATTCACAATTGTATGATAAAATGAAGTACTTCAATATAAGTCTAGTAAATTATATTCAGGATTTTTATGTAGAAAACTACAAAACACTGATGAAAGAAATCAAAGAAATTCTAAACACATAGAGAAATATACCCTTGTTCATGCATTGCAAGATTCACTGATGTAAAAATGTCAATTTTCCCTAGTTTCAGAATCAATGTTATTTCAAACAACACTCTATATTGTTTATAGAATTTGAAAAGCTGAATGTTTATGGATATTGACAAGCTTATTCTAAAATGAATGTGGCATGATGAAGGTGCTAAAATAAAAAAAATCTGAAAAATGAGAGAACAAAGTTGGATGACTCACATTATCCAGATTCAAGAGTTAGCATAAAGCTACAGTAATCAAGATAGTGTAGTATTGGTTAAATAATAGATACATAGGTAAATAGAATAGAGAACTTAGAAATAGACCTAAACAAATACAGTCAACTGATTTTCACAAAGGCACGAAGGCAGTCCAATGGAGAAAGATAGACATTTTCAGCAAATGATGCAGTAATAATTAATGTCCATGTGTAAAAAAAATGAAATTAAGCCTAATGAGACTGAATTAAGGAGAAATAGAAAACAAGAAGAGAGCAGTAAAAAGCAAGGAGACAGAATCACAAGTAAATTTACTGCACAAGTAAATTTTACCATTGAAAGAAAAAGTAATACCACTCTTTCTTAAACTTTTCCAAAAATAAGAGAGGGAGCACTTTGAAAC
The DNA here is from genome assembly GCF_000001405.40 of Homo sapiens. Taxonomy (NCBI): domain Eukaryota; kingdom Metazoa; phylum Chordata; class Mammalia; order Primates; family Hominidae; genus Homo; species Homo sapiens. The sequence goes on along the minus strand of NC_000023.11, from coordinate 35,296,777 downwards.
TCATTTTATAATGTAGCATCACCTTAGTTCCTAAGCCAGGCAAATACAACAAAAGAAAAGAAAACTACAAGCCAATATCCGTGATAAACATAGATGTGAAAATCCCTAAAAAACTCCTAGCAAACTAAATTCAACAGCACATTAAAAGGATAATACACAATGATCAAGTGAAATTTATTCCTGGGATAAAGGGATGGTTTAACAAATAAAAGCAAATCAATGTGACACACCATATTAACAGAATGAAAACCACATGAACATCTTAATAGATGCATACAAAGCACCAGGCAAATTTTACATTCATTAAAAAAAGAACCTCTCAACAAAATAAGTATAAAAGAAACTTACATAAAAACAGTAAAGGTCATATAAGAAAAACCCACATATAGCATCATAATCAATAGGGAAAAACTGAAACCTTTTTTGCTAAAATCTGGAACAAGAAATAAATGCTCACTCTCACTACTGATCTTCAAACATAATAAATACTAGAAGTCCTAGGCAGAGGAATTAGGCAGGAAAAAGAAATTAAAAAAAAATCCAAATCAGTAAAATTAGTTCTGTTTGCAGATGACATGAGCAGATGCATAGAAAATACTAAAGACACCACCAAAAAAAAAAAATTGTTAGACCTAATAAATTCAATAAAGTTGCAGGATACTAAATCAAAATACAAGCATCAGTGGTGTTTCCATACACTGATAATAAACTATTTAAAATGGAAATTGAGGGCCTGGTGTGATGGTTCACGCCTATAGTCCTAGCATTTTGGAAGGCCGAGGCGGGAGGATTACTTGAGCCCAGGAGTTCAAGACTAGAATGGGCAACATAGCATGACCACCATCTCTTAAAAAAATTTTTTTTAAATGGAAGTTGAGAAAAAAAAATCCCCCACAAAAAAATACTACTTGAGAATTCACCAAAGAGGTGGAAGACTTGTACACTGAAAATGACACAACATTGCTGAAGCAAGTTTCAAGAGACACAAATCGTAGAAAGATATCTATGTTCATACATTAGAAATATTAACAAAATATCCATATTGCCTAAGGTGATCTAAAAATCAATGCAATCCCTATCAAAATCCCAATGATAGCCTAAAACATTTGTGCATCTGTAATTCCAGCTACTTGAGCCCAGGAGTTTGAGTTTAGCCTGGGAAAATTAGCAAGACCTTGTCTCTAAAAATAAAATCCCAAGGAGATTATTTACAGAAATAGAAAAGAAACAATTCTAAAATTCATAGGGAGCAACAAAAGACCCCAATAGCCAAGGCAATCTTGAGCAAGAACCAAGCTGGAGGCCTGACACTTCCTAACTTCAAATTATATTACAAGGCTATGGTAATAAAAATTATGATAGTGGCATAAAAACAGATATATAGACAAAATAGAATAGAGAACCCCCACATATTTGTCGATTGACCTTCTATAGGATGCCAAGAATATACCATAAGGAAAGAGACAGTCTCTTCAACAAAAGGTGTTGGGAAAACTGAATATCCATATGGGAAAAATATAAAATTAGACATTTGTTTCACCATACGCAAAAATCAACTCAATATGGATTAAAGACTTAAACATAAAACAAGATGTATAAAACCCCCAGAAGAAAATATTGGGAAAGACTTCATTGACATTGGTCTTGGCAATAATTTTCTGGATATAACACCAGCACAGACAACAAAAGCAAAAATCCTGCCATTTATGAAAACATGAATGAACCTGGAGGACATTACACTAAGTGAAATAAGAAAGATACAGAAAGAGAAATGCTACATGATATCATGTATATTGG